>NT_167245.2:3230568-3401415 GCF_000001405.40 Homo sapiens | reverse complement strand
GGCCAGGCGCAGTGGCTCACGCCTGTAATCCCAACACTTTGGGAGGCCGAAGCAGGCGGATCACAAGGTCAGGAGATCGAGACCATCCTGGCTAACACAGTGAAACCCCGTCTCTACCAGAAATACTAAAAATTAGCCAGGCATGGTGGTGGGCACCTGTAGTCCCAGCCACTTGGGAGGTGAGGCAGGAGAATGGCTTGAACCCAGGAGGCGGAGGTTGCAGTGAGCCGAGATTGTGCTATTACACTCTAGCCTGGGCGACAAGAACAAAACTCTGTCTCAAAAAAAAAAAAAAGGAAGAAACAGTGACTTGGAACATTAAAAATGTTATATAACCATGAGCTATCACTGTCATTCATAGGGTTGTGGTAGATGTGAAATGACATGATGTACATAAAACTCATCACTTACTATTATATTATTACAATATTTTAAGAGATGTCCTGCCTTCACTGAAAACTGTCCAGTGCCTTCCCATCTCACTCAGAATTTAAAAAAAAAAATCAAAAGCCTGGTTACCGGGACTGTCGGGAAATAGGGATGAGGAGATATATATATATATATATATATATATTTTTTTTTTTTTTTTTTTTTTTTTTTTTTTTTTGAGATGGAGTTTCGCTCTTGTTGCCCAGGCTGGAGTGCAATGGCGCAATCTCAGCTCACTGCAACCTCTGCCTCCCAGGTTCAAGCGATTCTCCTGCCTCAGCCTCCCAAGTAGCTGGGATTACATGCATGCATCACCACACCCAGCTAGTTTTGTATTTTTAGTACAGACAGGGTTTCTCCATGTTGGTCGGGCTAGTCTCGAACTCCCGACCTCAGGTGATCCACTGCCTCGGCCTCCCAAAGTGCTGGGATTACAGGCGTGAGCCACCACACCCAGTCTATTTTTTAATGGGTATACGGTTTCAGTTTGGGGAAAAAGAAGTTCTGGAGATGGATGGTGCTGATGGGTGATGGTTTTACAATGATGTGAGTATACTTAATGCCACAAAACTGTACATTTTTAAATGGTTAAAATGGCAATTTTATGTTATGTATATTTTATCACAAAAAAAAGAAAAAAAAATATCAAGGGCCTTACCTTGACCTGCTAAGGTTTGACATGCCTGGTCCCCTGCTACCACTTTTAGCTCCTCTCCTGTCCTCTCCCCAGCTCCTTGTGCACTAGCCATGCTGGCCTCCTTATTGCTCACACGTGCTTCAGGGCCTCTGCAGGTGCCAGACCTTCTCCCTGGGGGGTTCTTCCACCCAGAGCACAACTCCCTCCTTCACTTCCTTCAGTCTCTAATTGAATGGTGACTTTTCCAGGAGGACTGCTTCGGCCACTATTGAAACTAGGCCCCGGACATCCTCTAATCCTTTCCCCTGCCTTATTACCTGACATATATATTTGTATGTATGTATCAGCTATCTTACAAACTAGAATATAAGCTACATAACATTAGGGACTTCTCTTTTATTTACCACTGCATCCCTAGGGCCCAGAACAAGCCTGCGCCCATAATGTTGAATAAATATTTGTTGAGCAATTCAAGTAGCTCAGGTGACATTACAGATCACACATGGTGACCTATAACACAGGCAAGCACATAGTACCATGGAGCCATGGATTTTTTTCTAAGGAATAGGATGGAGGGGACAAAGCTGGAGGCTGTTATAATAGTCCAGGTAAGTAAAGAGGTGGTAGGAAATGTGATAAAATGGTATAAAACTACACACACACATTGAACCAATGTGAATTTCCTGGTTTTGATACTGTGCTATAATTACATAGGATGCAACCACTGGGGGAAGCTGGGTGAAGGGCCTCGCTATACTATCTTTGCAATTTCCTATGAATCTATAAGAATTTCAAAATTAAAAGTTTTTATAAAGTGGGGGAGGGGGTGATAGGGATGGAGAGGAGAAGAGTCAGCAGGACTTAGTGACTGGCTTGATACAAGGGGTTGGGATATGACTCCCAGGTTTTGGTCTTGGGTGACATGATGAATGGGGGGAGGAGCACTAACTGAACAGTGGAAGGAGCAGGCCAGTTTAGGCATGAGATAAAGACCAACTGGGGTTGGGGGATGTCTTTAGCCAATCTTCAGGCCACAAAATCCCTTATTACCTGGACTGCCAGGGAGTAATAACACCATCATCAGGGCCCCCAATCAGCACCAGGTGGCCCACACGCAGAAAGTTCTTCCGCCATACTGTAGGATGGGAAGAAGAGAGGCTGAGTCAGCCACAGGGGTCAGGCCAGGTTGGAGAGGGAGACATAGGGAGTCAAAGAAGCAGAAAAAGCAACACAGGTAGGAGCCTGAATTCTCACCTGTGGCATTGGGATGGTCTCTTTCCCCATTGATCAGGGCCAGGAAGCTGCTGGCATTGAGGTACAAGTCATCGTGGTGGGGATCTGGGTACAAACAGCAGTTAGAAAAAGAAGCAGAAAAGGGAGGCAAGACTGGTGGTGAAAAGCCCAATAAGGAAGCTGCAGCAATAGTCAAGGTGGATAGTAATAAAATAGTAGTGATAATGTAGGCCAGGTGCGGTGGCTCACACCTGTAATCCCAGCACTTTGGGAGGTAGAGGCAGGTGGATCACTTGAAGTCGGGAGTTTGAGACCAGCCTGGCTAACATGGCGAAACCCTGTCTCTACTAAAAATACAAAAGTTAGCCAGGCGTGGTGGTGCATGCCTGTAATCCCAGTTACTCGGGGCGCTGGAATCACTTGAACCCAGGAGGTGGAGGTTACAGTGAGCCGAGACTGCACCACTGCACTCCATCCTGGGAGACACAGTGAGACTCCATCTCAAAATAATAATAGTAGTGATAACAACCGTAAACATAGTAACAAGTACTTTTTTTTTTTTAGATGAAATCTCACTCCGTCACCCAGGCTGAAGTGCAGTGGCAGGATCTCCGCTCACTGCAACATCTGCCTCCCGGGTTCAAGCAATTCTCCTGACTCAGCATCCTGAGTAGCTGGGATTACAAGCGTGTGCCCACATTCAGCTAAATTTTTTTTGTATTTTTAGTAGAGATGGGGTTTCACCATGTTGGCCAGGCTGGTCTCGAACCCGACCTCAGGTGATGCGCCCACCTCCCCCTGCCAAGATATTGGGATTACAGGTGTGAGCCACCACACCTGGCAATAGCAAGTACTTCTATCTAGTATCTACTATATGAGCCAGGTACTATTCAAAGTACATTGCATTCATTTATTTATTTAATCCTTACAACCACCTGGTGAAGTACATGCTATAATATTTTACAGATAAGGAAAACTGAGTAACAGAATGGTTAAGTAACTTGCCCAAAGGCACCCAATAGGGTCAAGATTCAAACCCAAGTATTCTGGCCCCATGGTCTGGTCTAGAGGTTGGCAAACTGTGACCAAAGGACCAAATCCAGCCTGCTACTTGTTTTTGTAAATGAAGTTTTACTGGAACACAGGCACATTCATTCACATATGGTACATGGCTGCTTTCACACTACAACAGCAGAATTGAGGAGTTGTGAAACAGACTATATGTCCTACAAAGTCAAAAATATTTACTCTCTGGCCCTTTATAGACAAGGTTTGCTGACTCCCACATCAGACTAAACCTTCTAAGGCAATAAGGTGACACACTTAAAACATTCTGGGCCAGGTGCAATGGTTCACACCTGTAATCCCAGCACTTTGGGAGGCCGAGGCGAGTGGATCACCTGAGGTCAGGAGTTCGAGACCAGCCTGGCCAACATGGCGAAACTCCATCTCTACTTAAAATACAAAACTTAGCCGGGCATGATGGCGCCTGCCTGTAATCCCAGCTACTAGGGGGACTGAGGCAGGAGGATCACTTGAACCTGGCAGGCGGAGGTTGCAGTGAGCCGAGATGGTGCACTGCACTCCAGCCTGGGCAACAGAACAAGACTCCGTCTCAAAAAAAAAAAAAATTCTGAACAGAGCCTGTTCAAATAACTCAATAAATGTAAGTTATCTTTATTGTCATCACTGCTATTGGTTGTAGCAGAGGTGGAAGCAACTGACCTGATCCATGGAAGCCCCAGTTCAGCATCCCCACTCACCATGCCAGTAGTTGCAGATGGAGAATTCCTGGCCCCAGGGGCTATAGCAGATCCGATAGAGGTTAGACCGCATGGAGGTGGGGAACAGCCACTTCAAGTAGTCCGTGTCTGGCAAGCGAATGGCAATGCTAAGTGACCATAAACCTCTGTTCCCCCAAAACTCAGGGCATTCTATGGAGTCTAGTGCCCACTCACCTCCATACTGTCCCATCTGTGGAGAGGAGAGGGAGATGAAAGAATCCACGTTGTGATCATCCATGACAGAAAGCAGAGCCCGGCACACAAGGCCCCCTGTAAGCAGAACACCACATTGGGCAGGCACTTAAGGACAGCAAAGCCAGCAGCACCCCCCACCCCCACCACACACACACACACACACACACACACACACACACACACACACAGAGACACACACAGACACACACTGTACACAAAGGAGACTGAGGCTTACAGAAGGCAGGCACACCCTGTGCCAAAAGGTCACACATCATATAAGTGACTGAGCCCGAATTAGATGCTGGGCCTCCTGCCTCTAGTTCTAGGATGTTTTTACCTGCCCCATTAGCCCTTATGTCCAAGAACCATGGGTAACAGGAAGCAAAAGGGCAGCAGTGTAGGGAGCCTCCCTCCCATTCAAGACAGAGATGAGACCCAGGTGCTGAGGGAAGTCAGAAAGGAAGGGCTCAGGTACCAGGGTTGTGCCTGGAGCAATGTGGTTCAGAAAAAGGGACGCTAGGAAGTGTCCCTCAGATAAGGATCAAGCCTCAGATAGGGCTTAGGAGTTAGGGGCAGGGGAGTCGCCTACCCTGCGAGTAGCAGATGAGATGCACCCCTTGAGGGGCCTTTGCCATGATGGGGACCACAGCCTCTCGGAACCCTTGCACCTGTTCCCACAGGGGTCGCAAGCTCTCTCTCCCATCGAAGAGATCGAGCACTGTCACCACAGTCCCGGGGTGTGTCTGTGGGAAGGGGGCAATGCAGCCACCGGGGATAGGCTAAGAAGCTCCCACACGCCACCCCCTGGCCCGCGTCCACAGGTCTATTGTACCCTGCTAGAACCAGGGATCCCGTCCCCCAACTCTCCCCCACGCCAGCACCAGCTCCCTGAGGAACTGGGCAGGCCCAGAGGGGTGGCTTTCAGTTCCCCGCTCTCCCTCCCCTGCCACAGTAGACGCCTCTAACGCCCTGCACCCAGGTGTCCCCTGCCAGACCTCATTGATGTATTCCAGCAGGTGGCGGAAGCTGTACGAGCTGTCGAAGAGCCCATGCACCACGATGACCGGCTTGTAGGACTCGCGGTGGGGCGCGGGGGCTGCAAGCAGCAGCAGCGGCAGGAAAGGCAACAGAAGCAGGACCCACGCCGCGGGGAGCCGCTGCCCCCAGAGCCCCAGCATGCTCCCGCCTGAGAAAGGGGTGATAAGGGCATGTGAGGGAGATGGCAACACCCTCCTCCCTCGGAACAGACGCCCGGCAATCAAGCCACCTCCTCTCGCTCCCACACCAGGTCCGTGTCACAAAATAGCCTACTTTTAACTTACTCCAGCCCTCTCCCTACAAACACACCCCCCCACCACGTTGACGCACCAACGCGCACCCGAAGTCCCGCCTCCAACTCAGCGTTCGGGGGACTTGTTCTCTAGGTCCAGGATCTTCCTAATGCATCGCCTCAGCCATGAACAACGCGGAGTTCTTTAATACCCGTGAGCAGCAGCCCAGGCCCCTTGAAGAGTGCAGACTCCCACCTGGCCTGGGTCCGTAGGCCTCGCTCCACCCGCTGTTTACTTATCCCAAGTCTGGAACCCACGGTGGCGGGGGGAAGGGTGAGGAAAGAGAGCGCAGGGGAATGACGGATGGGAGGGGGAAGGGCGGGCTGCTTGGGGTCGCGCAAATCCGTCACGTCCGGGGCTTTCTCTGGCAACCGCGCGAGCGTTCCCCGCAACACAGACCCAGGACAGGAGGGGCAATGGAATATTCCATTGCGCCCTAGGTGCTGGGGAGGAAACAGGCGGAGCGATCCATTTAGGCCAGTGGGGAGAGGAAAAAGCAGCAAACATATTCTGGGAATGGAAAGAAGGCCTCTCCAGGCTTCGTTGCCCCCAGCGACCCAAAAGTCCGATTTCCCCGCCTTGATTCTCCCCACTTCCCAATACAGGCGTCTGGCTCCGCAGCAGAACACGAAGTTTGCATTCCCCAAGGGGCGGCCAGGGGGCGGACCAGGGAAAGGTAGTCCTCTGCATTTTGCCGTGTGCTGGGTGAGTGGCAGGGTGGCCTGGAGGGCTGATGCCAGCCCGGGCGTGCCCCTCAACACCCACCCCACCCCACCCTCCAGTCCGCCCCAGGTCAGCGACTTACAACTCTTCATTCTGAAGTGCGTGTAGTGCCCTTGTCTCCAGAGACGCAGAGAGTCCTCGAGGCCCCTTGAGCTAAGTGCAGCCTGGCCCAGTTTCTCCTGCCCTACTCTACTCCCCTCCCTATAAGCGACCCACCCTCAAGGGGCGGAGGGCGCGTAGGGATGCGCTGACTCATGCCCGCGTAATTTCGACCAGTCTTTCAACCTGAACGACCCCCAGAATCTGGCTGTCTGAGTTATCTGTGGGTGGCTCCCTACCGAAACCCCCAGGCGCCCCACCTCTCCGCCTGTGACCCCTAACCGACACCCTAGTGCCTCAGGGCTTTTACTTGCTAGGGCTTTTACTTAGCATTTAAAGACGTTTCTCTAGAGATAAGGATTTCTCAGCATGTCTGAGCCCCTCTCTCTGTTTACAAGGTCATTGCTTGGTCTAAATTTGTCTCAATCAAAACATTTTTGCGCTCAGAATGGTGTAGAGTGACGATGAGGTGGCGGTAAGGGGTTGAGCGCTCACGCGAACGCCTAAGTGACCAGAACGACTGGTGTGAAGCCGTGATCTGACTCTGTGGAGCCTGGGACTGGTTTCAGCGAGAGCCTCTGTACTGCTCTGTAGTCTCTGCTAGGACATGGACGAAAAGGGACGCAGCCGGGAGAGCGACTGCCCCAGGTGGGGGCTGGGGGGACGTAAGGGAAGAATAATGATTATCTGGCTGTGTTTTTGTTTAAAAAAAAAAAAAAACTGGTGTAAATCTCCATAGACTTCCTATCCTCGCTCCCTTCACCCACCCACGCGCTCCCAAGATGCAATAAGCAAATAAAAAGACTAATAACGCTGTACTGCAGGTCGACTCAGGAGCTGGAGATGCGTCTTGGTGGGAGGTGGTGGGTGGGAGTAGGGGGGTTTAGGGAATGGATCTGAACATTGACCAGCCCAGAGACTCTAAGCAGCCTCAAAAGCAAAGGGAAAGTGGGGGAACAAGCACACATTACCAACAGAGCTGCCAGAAATGAGCAGTTAAGTCATACCCCCTACCCCCTCCAAAAGAGCTTCAGCTCCTTAGTCCTGGACGAAGAAGGTATGTATGCACACCGCCCAAACTCTCTCTCCCTTTTCCCTCCAAGGCCCAGCTCCCCCTGATTTACAGACCTGGGCCTCCCTCTTTACTGCTAGGTTGGTAGGTTCACCAAACCCTGGGAACTTTTCAGACCATCGCAGTTCTGAACTCTGCACAATTCTCTCTCACACACAAGTATTTATCTCTTCTAAAGAGGAGGAAACTGGGGCCAAGGATTTGGGAGAAGACCCTGGCACCTTGCAGGGAGCTAAGAGGGGGAGACGACCTGCCTCTGGAGGCACCTGGGTTATTAACTCCACTGAGAACCTGTTCACTTCCTCCCACAATACAATCACTGAGTCTTGGTGGGGGAGACTCCAGAGAGTTCTCCTTCCTTCCTTTCCTTAGTCCCACCCGCCTCGCCTGGTCTAGCCTCCGTGTTTCCATGACAACTCCAAAGGAGCCCAAACTGGGGGCTTGAATGCCGGGGTAAGAGGAGGAGAGAGGTGGTCCGAGAGCAGAGAGAGACCGAGTGGGAAACATCTGAAGCGCTCCCCCTCCCTCGCCTCGGTCCCTTTAAGCTCCCCCCCTCCCCGCTCTCCCTCCGCCCGCCCCCCCCGCCCCCCCCCCCCGCGCCGCTGCCTTCATCTCTCCATCTCTGCGCTGCTGCCGGCTGCGCCATCCAGCACCCAGACTCCAGCACCGGCCGAGGACCCCCACTCCGGCTGCAGGGACCCTGTCCCAGCGAGACCGCAGGCATGTCATCCGAAAAGTCAGGTAAAAACAATAACAAAACCTCCCACCCCCTCCACTGTCTCCAGACTCTCCGTCCCCCTTGCCCCAACCCCCTCCCTTACCCCTCCTCAGCTGTGGTTCTATTTCATTCCCCTTCTCTCCAGCTCTCAACACTCCCCCAGTCCCCCTCCTCTTTCTGTCTCCCCCTTTCTCTTCCTTTCCTCTTTCCAGTGGCAGCCTCTGCCCCTTGCCAACAACATGGTCAGGGGGGTAGGTTGAGAGGGTGAAGGAGGTACAGCCAGGTTTTGCAGGGATGGCATCATTGGGAGTGACAGATGGACAATCACTGGCTGGCATGGAGACATCCTGTGAGGAAATATGGAGACATGACCAGATGGGGGTTGTCAAGGGAGCAAAATCCAGAGGGCTCTTCTTAATCTGCCCTAAAAGAGGTCCCGAGATTCTCACAGAGGCTGGGGCACTCCTCCCCCCACTGAAGGAACAGCAGAGTGGAACACATGTCATCCCACATGTGTTTATACAACTGTTGAATTGAGCACATATTAACACAGGGTTGCATGTCTACGCATACGCACACACAGGACTAGCTCGGATAGGCCAGCCCAAAGGCAGCTATAGCAAAGGAGAGGGGATTAGGTCTGCAGGTGAGAGCTGGGTGCATGGTGATGAAAAAGACAGAAAAGAAGCAGACCAGAGTTGTGACCTCAAAACTAGATTGGAAGGAAGAAGGAGGGGGGCAGATGGCCTAGATACAGCCCCTCTCTTGCCCCTCAAATTAGAGATGGTTTCTCACCCGTCTCTCTCTATGTGTCTCTCCCATTATCTTTCTCCATCCCTGACCGGCTGTGTTTCCCCTTACCCCCTCCTCAACTCATCACTGTGTCATCTTTCCTCTTATACTCTCCTCCACTCACCTCCCCCAGGACTCCCAGACTCAGTCCCTCACACTTCTCCGCCGCCCTACAATGCCCCTCAGCCTCCAGCCGAACCCCCAGCCCCACCGCCACAGGCAGCCCCTTCCTCACACCATCACCACCACCACCACTACCATCAGTCTGGCACCGCCACCCTCCCGCGCTTAGGGGCAGGGGGCCTGGCCTCTTCCGCGGCCACCGCTCAGCGCGGTCCCTCCTCCTCTGCCACGCTGCCGAGGCCCCCCCACCACGCCCCTCCCGGCCCTGCTGCCGGGGCACCCCCACCCGGCTGCGCTACCTTGCCCCGCATGCCACCCGACCCTTACCTGCAGGAGACTCGCTTCGAGGGCCCACTTCCCCCGCCGCCGCCCGCTGCCGCCGCCCCGCCCCCGCCGGCGCCAGCCCAGACTGCCCAGGCCCCTGGCTTCGTGGTGCCCACGCACGCGGGGACTGTGGGCACGCTGCCGCTGGGGGGCTACGTAGCGCCCGGATACCCCCTGCAGCTGCAGCCTTGCACTGCTTACGTGCCGGTCTACCCGGTGGGCACGGTGAGTGCCGGGCAGACAGGGACATGGGAAAGAGGGGGACGCGATACAGGACTTGAAATTGGGGATACGCTGGGGGCTGGTAGGATAGAGGAACAAGGGCAGGGAACAGGTAGTGTTCCCGGGACAAGCCCTAGAAAGAAGGGAGCCTGAGACAGGAAGGACTAGGGAGAGACCCGGGAGTAGGAGTCTACTGGTGCCCAGAGTCAGGGCCTGGGAGGGGGATCGGAGCCTAGAGGTTCAGAGGAGGTCTGAAAGTAGGAAACCGCCTGGCGGGGGACGGGGGGAATGGAAGCTGGGAACCAAGAGGGATGTGGGAGAAGCCTGGGACTAAGGGGGTAGGGGAGGCCTGGTAGGTGTCTGGAGGGAAGAAAGAAGGTCTGACCTGAGGCCAGGACAGCCCCAGTGGGACCATACCTTGCGGGAGAGAATGTAGAAAGCCCAAGAATATGGTGGTTAATGAAGCAAGGAAGGGAGGAGAGGGGCTTAGGTGGAATTTATGGGTGTCCTGGAAGGGTAATGGGTGCTTTATTTTGAGAAGCCATAGGTAAAAATTGTGCTTTTAAAGCCACTCTGCCAGCCGCCCAACGCTGGTAGGCTGGGAGAGGGTCAGAGTGATGCCCCTGCCCCCCAAATTTCCTTCCACAGCCATATGCAGGCGGGACCCCGGGGGGAACAGGAGTGACCTCCACTCTCCCCCCGCCGCCCCAGGGCCCAGGGCTGGCCCTACTGGAGCCGAGGCGCCCGCCACACGACTACATGCCCATCGCGGTGCTGACCACCATCTGTTGCTTCTGGCCTACTGGCATCATTGCCATCTTCAAGGCCGTGCAGGTAGGGGGCAGGGGCATACTCGGTTTGGGGGCGGGGACAGGGAGTTCTGGGCGTTCTGGGGACCATCTTAGAGAAAGGCTGAGGCGTTCGAACGAGGCCGCAGCTCTTTGACCTCCTTCCCCCACCCCTCCTCCGTAGGTGCGCACGGCCTTGGCCCGCGGAGACATGGTGTCGGCCGAGATCGCTTCACGCGAGGCCCGGAACTTCTCCTTCATCTCCCTGGCCGTGGGCATCGCGGCCATGGTGCTCTGTACCATCCTCACCGTAGTCATCATCATCGCCGCGCAGCACCACGAGAACTACTGGGATCCCTAAAAACGCCCCTGGTCCGGCCCCACTCTGCGCCCCTCGATCTCCCAGGCTCTTTCTGCAGTCATACCGCGGACCCAATGGGCGCCCTGCACACCCGTTTCTGGGGCCGTCAGACTTGGATACATCGTAAACTCCGCCTCCACGGAACGTCTCGCCTTGCGAGCAAGCTCGGAATCCAGTTCCTCAGGAACCCCTCCAAAACCCACACCCCCAGGGACGCCGCTTTCCGGGATCCCGGCCAAACGCCGGACCCTCAGTCGCTCCAGGCCCCCTCACCCTCAAAGTGTAGCGCCCCCAACCGAGCAACCTCGGTTTGGTCCCTAAAACCCCGCCTCCTCTATAAGCACCGCCCCAGCTCTGACAAAACCCCGCCTCCAGGTCGGCAGGCTCCGCCTTCTTTTCTTCTCCGCGGGGTGATTCAGTCCAGTGATTGGGTTTGTGGCTCCAGGCCTCGCCCACAGACGGACAGACCCCTCCCTTTCTTCCGGCAAAAGGACCGAGCCCTGGGGTAGTAAGGCCCCCACACTCCTGTTTTTTGCAAGTACATTTTTGTCCCTCCTCCACCCAGGTATCTGCCTATTTTCTTGCTAATCCCAGAACCTTTCCTTTTGCTTTTTTTAAGGACATTTGGGAAGTTCCTGGTGTAGGACCCTTCTCCCTGGGATAAGAAACCTGCCTGTAAACGCTCTGTAAATACTCCCTTCCACCCATCCCAGCCCCTGGGCAGCCGGGCAGAAGGGAATCCAGGCTATGGACCTCCCAAGTCCCCGCTCCCCGCTCCCCTCGGCGGCCCCGCCTTGTTCTGATCTGTGTGTGAGTGTGTGTGAACTTCTGAAAGACAATATTAAAGAGACTTAGTTGATTTATCGCCCGCAATTCCAAAGACTGCGGCCCCGCAAAGACCCTCCCCACTTTTGATTCCGCCTTTCACTTCCCTTCATCTCCTCTTCCAAGGAAAAAAAAAGAAAACCCGACAGAGACTAACGTGAGGGACACAGATTCCCAGATCGCCAGAGAGACACGTGAATATGGGGGACGGAGGGGAGCTCCCTGGGAATCCACCAAGGAAGACCTTGGGGTCCATTCTCAGTGAGGCTTTATTTTCTTAGTGAGGCTTTATTTCCCCAGTACCCCTTTTCCATTCCCTACTATCCCCAGAACTCCAGGAAGACAAGAGAACAGAGAGGGCAGACCATGGTGAAGAAGCTGGTCAAGGATAGAGTGATGGGGGCCAAGAAGAGATGCCAGCTGCCCATAGCTGTTCCTGACTGTGGGCTGGAGGGTGGCAGATAACTTGGATTAGAGCCCCACATGCTGGACTGTAGGGGGTATAGGAAAGGCAAAGAGAGCAGATTGCTGTGGGAGCCCAGGGAGGAGGTCAATGGCCTCTCAAGTCTCCCTGGGACTAGTTGCCCTCTCCTATCCTGAGGTCAACCAATAGGCCTCTTTTCTGAGGGGAGTGGTGATTAGGGGATGCTGCCAGCAGTGGGCTTGGGTCTTTGGTTGTACACCCACAGGACAGGGTCCTAACCTAATTTATGCATTTATGCAACATGCAGACTCCATGCTGGATGCTGGTGAGACATCCACCCAGACAGCAGGTGTGACCCCTGACCTCATGGAGCTTACAATCTAGAAGGGAAGCCATGCACTGAGATAGGAAATGTGATAGGAGATGTGGGAGGAGGGTGGGGTGAGGTGTGAATATCATGGGTTCGCCCTTGGATGTTTCGCATTTAATGTGCCTACCTTACCAAACTTCTTGAAAAACAGAATTCATGGCTGGGCACGGTGGCTAACACCTGTAATTCCAGCATTTTGGGAGGCCAAGGCAGGCGGATCACTTGAGGTCAGGAGTTCGGGACCAGCCTGGCCAACATGGTGAAACCCCATCTGTACTAAAAATAATAAATTAGCCGGGCATGGTGACGGGCACCTGCAGTCCCAGCTACTTGGAAGGCTGAGGCAGGAGAATCGCTTGAACTTGGGAGGCGGAGGTTGCAGTGAGCCAAGATCAAGTCATTGCACTCCAGCCTGGGCAACAAGAGCGAAACTCCATCTCAAAAAAAAAGGGGCAGGGGGGTGCGGAATATTGCTATCAGAGATATGTCTGTATCTGTCTTTTTTTCATACCCACTATTTCTTGACTTATTGGAATATGCATCCACACCCTATTCTCCTGAAACCTCCCTCTCAAATGGCAACCAATTACCCAGATCCCAAATCAATGGCATTTTCACAGTATTCTGCCTCTCTAAGCCCTCCCATGTTTGTCCCTTGACCCTGAATTCCCCACATACCCAGGTTCAAGAACGTATTACCTCCCTTCCCCCGACACACACACAGACCTCTAACCATTCCGCCTCTGCCTTCCCTCCTTGCTTTTTCTCCTCCCTTCCCCTAAGTGTCCATCTCTGATTTTTTTTCCTTCTCTGAGACTTTCCTTTGAAAAGCTCATTCACTCAACTCAGCTAATCAAATGCTTTTCCAACCTGTATTTTACATGCAGACGTTTTTTCCAGTGCCTGAAGATCATAGCCACATGGAAGATGCTTGCTGGTCCTCTAAAATCAACACATTCCAAAACAAACTGATGAAATGCCACAGAAAACCTGCTTCCCTGTCTCTGTTAATAGACCATTTTCCCAATCACTCTTCCTTATCTAGAAATTTGCCGCCTCCTCCCTCTCCCTCCTGCCTTATTTTTGGTGTGCTCTCAAGCCTAGTCAGTTCTGCCACCACAATGTCTTTTGAATCTGTAATTTTTCCCCAGCCCTTGCTGGAAAAATTACCTCATTAGGATTATTGCATCAGCTTTCCCAACAGGTCTCCCTACTTCCTACTTCTCCCTACCTCAAGTCTCCCTCCACACTATTGTCAGATCAGCCTCCCTAAACACACTTTCATAACTCCACTGCTCAAAAGCCCTTCAAGGTTCCCTATTGCCTACTCAATTATTTACAAAATTTTAATCTGGCCTTTAACACCTTCCATAATTTAAAATCATCCAGCTTCTCTGTTCATTCTAATTTCTAACCATACTGAATTACTCATCATTCCCACCTCCAGGTATTTGCCCAGCTGTTCCCAAATCTTAGACCTCCTTCCCAAATCTCTGCCTATTATAAACCAAATTGTTTGCAGCTTGTCACAAATTTCAGAGGCTTTAGACCACATCTAGGCTCTTGCTCATGATGTTCTCCCCCTCTTGACATCTGCCTCTCTACTTGGTCAAATTTTATTTACAATATCTTTCAAAGTCCGGATCAATTCATCCCTCACTGTAGCAAAAAGGTGTCTCTCTTTCCTCTGGGTTAGATTAAAGCAGTGGGTTTCCAAACAGAGCTTCAGGCATTCCTTGGAGCAACGGTTCTTACCCCAGGTTACACATTAGAATCCACTGGGGAGCACTGAAAAATCTGAAAGCCCAAGTCGCATCCTAAAACAATTAAATCAGAATCTCTGGGCTCAGTGCCAGTGGCTCACACCTGTAATCTCAGCACTCTGGGAAGTCGAGGCAGGAGGATCGTTTAAGCCCAGGAGTTCGAGACTAGCCTGGGCAATATGGTGAGACCCCATCTCTACAAGAAAGTTTAAAAACTAGCCTAGGCCAGATCGAGACCATCCTGGCTAACATGGTGAAACCGCGTCTCTACTAAAAATACAAAAAAATTAGCTGGGTGTGGTGGCAGGTGCCTGTAGTCCCAGCTACTCAGGAGGCTGAGGCAGGAGAACGGCATGAACCCGGGAGGTGGAGCTTGCAGTGAGCCGAGATCGTGCCATGCACTCCAGCCTGGGCAACAGAGCGAGACTCCGTCTCAAAAAAAAAAAAAAAAAAAAAAAATTAGCCTAGGCCGAGCGCGGTGGCTCACACATATAATCTCAGCACTTTGGGAGGCCGAGGTGGGTGGATCACCTGAGGTCAGGCGTTCAAGACCAGCCTGGCCAACGTGGTGAAACCCCGTCTCCACTAAAACTGCAAAAATCAGCCGGGTATGGTGGCACATGCCTGTAATCCCAGCTACTCAGGAGGCTGAGGCAGAAGAATCGCTTGAACCTAGGAGGCGGAGGTTGCAGTGAGCCCAGATTGCACCACTGCACTCCAGCCTGGGTGGCAGAGAGGCACTCAGTCTCAAAAAGAAAAAGAAAAAAAAAATTTAGCCGAGCCCCATGGCTCACCTGTAGTCTTAGCTACTTGGGAGGGTGAGACGGGAGGATTGCTTGGGCCTGAGGGGCAGAGGCTTCAGTGATCAGAACACGGTGCTCCAGCCTGGGCAACAGAGTGAGACCCTATCTCAAAACAAACAAAAAAGAATCTCTGGGGGTGGAACTCTGGCATCAGTATTTAAGACATAACCAGGTGATTCCAAAGGGCAGCCAAGGTTGGGAATCACAGGTTTACAGACACTTTAAGGACCACCCAGGGAGAATGGAAAGGCCAAAAAATGACTTCAACCCGGGCAATTTTCTTTAGGAGAAAAGTATCTAGATCTAAGATTCATGTTATCTGCATATTTTCTCATCTCTTCCCACCTGATATCTTGACATACACAGTTTACCTTGTGAGCTACTTGAAGGCAAGAGTCAAATCTGGCTTATCTCTGTTTTTCAGATCCTCATCAGATAAAACCTCCTCTACCAATCTTTGAACTCAATTGAATTGAAAGGAATCAGGCAAAGGGAGAGATGAATAAAAAATGACTTAGCTTTCTTTTGCTTTTCCTTAGGAATGTTTGTTTCTTAATCTCAGATCTCTTAACCTCACCCAGACTCCTCCCTCATGAGGAAATAAAATGTTACAATGTGTGGCCGGGCGCGGTGGCTCACTCCTGTAATCCTAGCACTTTGGGAGGCCGAGATGGGCGGATCACGAGGTCAGGAGATCAGGACCATCCTGGCTAACACGGTGAAACCCCATTTCCACTAAAAATACAAAAAATTAGCTGGGTGTGGTGGCAGGCACCTGTAGTCCCAGCCACTTGGGAGGCTGAGGCAAGAGAATGGTGTGAATCCCGGAGGCAGAGCTTGCAGTGAGCCGAGATTGTGCCACTGCACTCCAGCCTGGGCAACAGGGCGAGACTCCGTCTCAAAAAAAAAAAAAAGTTACAATGTGATCCTCTTCCTATCTGACTCACCTCCCTCTGCAGGTGATACCCTTGGCTGTGGCACCTCTACTGACAGAGACTCCATCCTCTAGGAGAGGCTCTGCCCTCCCATAACATCTGTATGGGTGCTCTCATACAGATGGGGGAAAACCATGATTAGATTCTGGGTCATCATTCCCCCTCTACAATGGAAGATTCAGCACCTGATCACTCTACTTCCACCGCTCATTTCATTTTCTTCTTTTTATTATTTATTTATTTATTTTTGAGATGGAGTTTTGCTCTTCTCGCCCAGGCTGGAGTGCAGTGGCGCAATCTCGTCTCACTGCAACCTCCGCCTCCTGAGTTCAATAGATTCTCCTGCCTCAGCCTTAGTAGGTGTGATTACAGGCATCTGCCACCACGCCCAGCTAATTTTTGTATTTTTACTAGAGACAGGGTTTCACCATGTTGGCCAGGCTGGTCTTGAACTCCTGATCTTAGGTTATCTGCCTACCTCGGCCTCCCAAAGTGCTGGGATTACACACGTGAGCCACCGAGCCCAGCCTCTTTTTCTTTTTTCTTTTTTTTCTGAGGCAGGGTCTCGCTCTGTCACCCAGGCTGGAGTGCAGCAGCAGGATCATAGCTCACTGAGCTTCGATCTCCCGGTCTCAAGTGATCCTCCCAGCTAATTTTTTTTATTTTTATTTTATTTTTTTTTTTTGAGATGGAGTCTGGCTCTGTCGCCCAGACTGGAGTGCAGTGGCACAATCTCAGCTCACTGCAACCTTGCCTCCTGGATTCAAGCAATTCTCTGCCTCAGCCTCTGAGTAGCTAGGATTACAGGCGCCTGCCACCACGCCCGGATAAATTTTGGGTTTTTTTTTTTTTTTTTTTGAGACAGAGTCTCACCCTGTCGCCTAGCCTGGAGTGCAGTGGTGCGATCTCGGCTCACTGCAAGCTCTGCCTCCCGGGTTCATGCCATTCTCCCGCCTCCCACCTCAGCCTCCCAAGTAGCTGGGACTACAGGCACCCGCCACCATGCCCAGTTAATTTTGTTTTTGTATTTTTAGTAGAGACGGGGTTTCACCGTGTTAGCCAGGATGGTCTCAATCTCCTGACCTGGTGATCCGCCCTCCTCACCCTCCCAAAGTGCTAGGATTACAGGCTTGAGGCACCGCCCCTGGCCTGTTTTTTTGTTCGTTTGTTTTTGTTTTTTTTGGACGGAATTTTGCTCTTGTTGCCCAAGCTGGAGTGCAATGGTGCCATCTCAGCTCACTGCAACCTCTGCCTCCCAGGTTCAAGCGATTCTCCTGCCTCAGCCTCCTGAGTAGCTGGGATTACCGGCGTGTGCCACCATGCCCGGCTAATTTTTTGTATTTTTAGTAGAAATGGGGTTTCACCATATTGGTCAGGCTGGTCTCAAACTCTTGACCTCGTGATCCACCCGCCTCGGCCTTCCAAAGTGCTGGGATTACAGGCATAAACCACTGCGCCTGGCCTCTGGCCTTTGATATTTAATAGAGATGAGGTCACACTGTGTTGCCCAGGACAGTCTCGAACTCCTGAATTCACACAATCTGCCTGCCTCAGCCTCCCAAAGTGCCGGGATTATAGGCATGAGCTACAGTGCCTGGCCCCGTTTTATTATTTTTGTTTTCAATGTTCATGCAGATTCTCTAGCACCCTGCCCTTCTCTTGCAGTGATTTATTTCTCCCTGCTTCCCTCTCGCCCTATGTCATACCTTCAACTTGGTTGCCACCAATACCTACTGCCCTTCTAAAATCTCATCCTCAGTCTTTTCATGTTGCTCCCCAGTACCCCTATCCCAAAAATTCTTCAACCCCATCTGGGCCTCCCATCCACTAACTTACTTTTCATTGTTTGATCTCAATTCTTCACTTTCCTCATTACCCAGTTTAGATTCCAAGGTTCAACACGGTAATCGCCTCTCAGCCCTCACCCTGTACTCCTGGCCCCCCTTCCTCTGGCACATTTTATCCCTGGTCAAATCCCACTCTGCCTGCTCCACACCTGCATTCAACAGCTGGGGAGAAACACACAGTCATACTGACTGGTCTTGCTTCCTGCGGGCCCTCAGTGTGGCATGCCAGCTCGCCTTTCCCTACTCAGTTCACATTCCCCAAATCTGAGACCACAACTTCACAAGATGATGACTTTTCTTCCTATTTCAGTGAGAAAACAGAAACTTTCAGAAGGGAACTTCCTCATGTTCCCACCCCAAATTCACCAGTCTACCTGCAACTCTACCGCAGAGAAGCTGACATGCACCCACCTGCCACCTCATCTGTACCCCGGGATCCTGTTCCCTCTCACCTGCTCAGAGATGTTATTCCTGAAATTATCCCCTATCTCTCTCTCTCTCACTTAATCAGTTTACCCCTCTGTACTGCAACACTCCCATCATTATGCAAACATGCTATAAAATTATACTTCATCTCTGAAAAGAAAGAAAAAAACTGTTTCGCTACTCACCTAGGTAGTAAAAGCACAACATTCAGAGAATGGTGCTTACCCTTTGGCAGAAAAGCAATCTGGAAAGGGAAATTCAGGGAGCCTTAACTATACTGGGGAAGATTTTACCTCTTGTTTTTGCTTTCTTTTTTTTTTTTTTTTTTTTTGAGATGGAGTCTCCCTCTGTCACCCAGGCTGGAGTGCAATGGCACGATCTCAGCTCACTGCAACCTCCGCCTCCCGGGTTCAAGCGATTCTCCTGCCTCAGCCTCCCAAGTAGCTGGGATTATAGGCACGCACCACCACACCTGGCTAATGTTTTAGTAGAGACAGGATTTCACCATGTTAGCCAGGCTGGTCTCCAACTCCTGACCTCAGGTGATCCGCCCACCTCAGCCTCCCAAAGTGCTGGGATTACAGGTGTGAGCCACCTTGCCCTGATGGGAAGATTTTACTTCATAAGCTGCCTGATGTTCACAAAATTATTCTTTGTAATACATATATATTTATGCATATAAATTATAATTTTATATGTATAAAATAATGCATTTATTTTTAAATTTAAAAACTCTTCCCTGACCCAGCTCACTCCCTCAGTGTTCCACTTCTCTCTCCACTTAACAAAACTTCTCACTGCCTCTACTTTCTCACCTCTCATTCACTCTTGAATTTCTCTCAATCAGGCTCTCATCCCCACCACTTTACTTAAACCACATGTCAGAGTCACAAATGACCTCCAAGTTTCTAAACCCAATGGTCAAGGGTCAGTTTGTGGCAGGCCAATTCTCCCTGACAGTCACACAGACAGGCCTGCATAGCACCCCAGTTACACAGACAGATTTCCACAGCATTGCCTTAACATTGAGCAAATAGTTAAACCTAGGGGAATTGGTGTACAGACATCAAAGCTAGAAATGAAACACATGGTGAGTAAGAGCCTTGCATGGGCTTCTCCCTTGCTGGAGCAAGTCAAAATAACAGAGACAGCCTTACATTCCTAGTGCCAGGACTCGTCTCGGGTCGACGATATCTGAGACAAGTCAAGGTAACAGAGGCAGCTGTTTGAATAGATTCATTGGAGAATCTAAGGCAGCTCTCCGCACCAAGCTGTAAAGGAGATAAGATAGAAATAATCACTCTGGTACCACAGTAAACAGGCCTTGAAGGTACTGGGGCCCTCACAGCTTAATCAGACTTAGCAAGAATTTTTTTGCCTCTGACCCTCTAGTTGAAACAAAATTAGTTACTGATAGACTTTGGTGAATGCCATACTGCATGTAGGCATATAACCTAAACCTGTATAAACACTAAGAAAATAGTAACACTGGCCGGGTGTGGTGGCTCACACCTGTAATTCTAGCACTTTGGGAGGCCGAGGTGGGTGGATCACAAGGTCAAGAGATCGAGACCATCCTGGCCAACATGGTGAAACCCTGTCTCTACTAAAAATACAAAAATTAGCTGGGCGTGGTGGCACGCGTCTGTAGTCCCAGCTACTCGGGAGCCTGAGGCAGGAGAATCATTTAAACCCAGGAGTCGGAGGTTGTGGTGAGCCAAGATCGCACCACTACACTCTAGCCTGGCGACAGAGCGAGACTCCGTCTCAAAAAAAAGAAAAAAAGAAAATTGTAACACTTTGAGTTGGTCTGGTGGAATTATCTCCGACCCTTTCCCTGTATCCGGTGACAGCAACAAATTCCCTTCTTTCCTAGTTTGTCTGCTTCTCGTTATTGGGCCACGAGAAAACACAGCCAAACCTGGCTTAGTTCCAGGAATAAGTTCTCAACTAGAGTCTAAACTAGGGTTTCTCAGTTTCAGGGATTATTGACATTTTGGGTCAGATAGTTCTTTGTCATGGGGGTCTGACCTGTGCATTGTCTTGCCAAGTATCTCCTGTGGGACATCTTGACCAGTGGTTTTCAAGAGTGGGTGATCCTCCCATCCCACCCCCAGGAACATTTGGCAATGTCTAGAGTTGTTTCAGTTATCACAACTGAGGAGGTGCTCCTAGCGTCTAGTGAGCAGCGGCCAGGCATGCTGTTAAACTCCTTGCAACTGGAGGACACAATAAATAATTATTTCACAGCCATAGTAAAGAATGAAATTGGCCGGTCGCGGTGGCTCACGCCTGTTATCCCACCACTTTGGGAGGCCGAGGTGGGCAGATCACCTGAGGTCAGGAGTTTGAGACCAGCCTGGCCAATGTGGTGAAACCCCGTCTCTACTAAAAATATCAAAATTAGCCAGGCATGGTAGCACGTGCCTGTAATCCCAGCTACTCGGGAGGCTGAGGCAGGAGAATCGCTTGAACCTGGGAGGCGGAGGTTGCAGTGAGCCAAGATCATGCCATTGCATTCCAGCCTGAGCGACAAGAGAAAAACTCCATCTCAAAAAAAAAAAAAAAAAAAAAAATGAAATCATGTCCTTTGCAACAACGTGGATGAAGCTGGAGGCCATTATCCTAAGTGAACTAACTCAAACATAGAAAACCAAATATTTGGCTGGGTGTGACGGCTCATGCCTGTAATCCCAGCACTTTGGGAGGCCGAGGCAGGTGGATCACTCGAGCTCAGCAGTTCGAGACAAGCCTAGTCTCTACCAAAAACACAAAAAATTAGCTGGGCATAGTGGTATGTGCCTGTGGTCCCAGCTACTTGGGAATCTGAAGTGGGAGGATCACTTGAACCAGGGAGGCAGAGGTTGCAGTGAGCTGGAGTCACACCACTGCACTCCAGCCTGGGTTACAGAGTGAGACCCCATCACGGGAAAAAAAAAAAAAAAAAAAAGTCGGGCACAGTGGCTCACGCCTGTAATCCCAGCACTTTGGGAGACAGAGGCGGGCAGATCACCTGAGGTCAGGAGTTCGAGACCAGCCTGGCCAACACGGCAAAACCCCGTCTCTACTAAAAACATGAAAATTAGCCTGACATGGTGGCGTGAGCCTGTAATTGCAGCTACTCAGGAGGCTGAGGCAGGAGAATCACTTGAACCTGGGGCGAGGAGGAGGTTGCAGTGAGCAGAGATAGCGCCACTGCACTCCAGCCTGGGCAACAGAGTGAGGCTCCATCTCAAAAAAAAAAAAAAAATTTACCTATTGGGTACAATGTTCACTATTTGGGTAACAGGTACACCACTAGAAGCCCAATCCCCACCAGGATGCAATGTAATCATGTAACAACCAACCAGGTGTACTGCTTGGGTTTAAAATTGTGGGGGAAAAAAAAGAAAAGAAAGAAGAAAAAAATTATCCTGCCAGGTGCAGTGGTTCATATCTGTAATCCCAGCACTTTGGGAGGCTGAGGCAGATGGATCACTTGAGTTCAGGAGTTTGAGACCAGCCTGGACAACATAAGGAGTCCCCATCTCTACAAAAAATTAAAAAATTATCTGGGCATAATGGCACACACCTGTGGTCCCAGCTATTTGGGATGATGAGGTAGGAGGATCACTTGAACCTGGGAAGTCGAGGATGCAGTGAGCCATGGTAACCCCACTGCACTCCAGCCTAGGCAACAGGCTGTCTCAAAAACAAAAAAGAAAGAAAGCATTCCCTAGTTCCTTATTTACTGCTCCTTCTCAGTCTTCACTGACAGCTCCTATTCCTTTTCCAGACCTTTAAATATTAGAGAGCCTCTGGACTCTATTCTTGGCCCTCTCCTCTACCCTAATCCAAGCTCCCATGATTCCATTGTCCCTTCCTTTGTCCCTTAATTGGATTTTCTGCTTCTATTTTTTACTGATGTGGCCTACCCTCTATGAAGAAACCAGAGTGATCTTTAAAATTACCAGATGATATCATTTACCTGCTCAAAACCCTCTGATGCCTCCTGATCACATGTGGGACAAAATAAAAAGTCCTTCCCATGGCCTATGAAGCCTACCTGGCCTTGTTTCTCCCCACCTCTCTGTCTTCATCCCTTACCACTCTTTCCCTTGCTCACTCTGCTCCACTCACTCTGACCTCCTTTCTGAATTTAACATAAAAATCCAATTCCTTTCTACCTCAGGGCCTTTGCACTCTCTTTTTCTTTTCCTGGACACTCTCCCTCCAGATACTTGCATGACTGCTCCTTTATGTCATTTATATCTGCACAAACATCACCTCCACAAGGAGGCTTTCCCTCATCACTTGATTAAATATAGTACCATGGCCAGGCACAGTGGCTCTTGCTTATAATCTCAGCACTTTGGGAGGCAGAGGCAGGAGGATTGCTTGAGGCCTGGAGATTGAGACCAGCCCAGGCAACATAGTGAAACCTCGTCTCTAAAAAAAAAAAAAAAAATTAGCCAGACATGGTGGCATGAACCTGCAGTCCCAGCTACTCATGAGGCTGCGGTGGGAGGATCACTTAAGCCCAGGAGGTCAAGGCTGCGGTGAGCCATGACCACACTACTGCACTCCAGCTTGGGCAACAGAGCAAGACTCTATAAATAATAATAATCATCATCATCAATAAATATAGCACCATGCATACCTGGGAGCACTTTCTATCCCATTCCCTTACCCCTCACCCTGCTTCATGGTGTTCATAGCACTTGTTAGTGCCTGACATTGTATTAAATTTTATTGATTTTTTTATCGTCTGTCATCTTCAATTCAATGTAAGTTACCAGAGATCCAAGGCTTTTTCCACTGCCTTATTCCCAGCATGTAGCACAGTGCTTGGTACAAAGGAGGCCCTCAGTAAAGATTTCTTGGCTGGGCGCAGTGGCTCACGCCTGTAATCCCAGCACTTTGGGAGGCTGAGGTGGGCGGATCGTGAGGTCACAAATCCGAGACCAGCCTGACCAACATGGTGAAACCCTGTCCCTACTAAAAAAAATACAAAAGTTAGCCGGGCGTGGGGGTGCACACCTGTAGTCCCAGCTACTCAGGAGGCTGAGGCAGGAGAATCACTTGAACCCAGGAGGCGTAGGTTGCAGTGAGCCGAGATCACGCTACTGCACTCCAGCCTGGGTGACAGAGCGAGACGTCATCTCAAAACAGCAACAAGAACAAAAACCAACCAACCAAACAAACAAAATTCTTTGAATCACTGAATGAATAAGTAGTTCATAGAGTTGTGTGAGAGAAAAATAGCTAATATATACAAGACATTTAGAACAATGCTGAGTATTACGGTCATAATGCATGGCCAGCGTTTAGTAAGGTGAAGCTGTTATCATTAAACACTTCACTGCCAAAAAGGCTGCCTCCCTCCTGCTTGAAAACCCTGACTATAAGGGAAGCACAGCAAAATGCTTTGGGACCAAAAAGGAGGGAGGAACGATTTTGACACAAATCCCAGCAAAACTAAAAGCCACAGAAACCACCAAAGCTAAACAGAAGGGGAAATTTATTTAGCTTTTGGAAAGCTAGAATTTTTGTCTCTCATGCAGATAATAAATGGAAGAGAATAAGTGCAGCATATGGTTCCATGTGGTGAGTATAGAACGCAGGGGAATGTGAGAGTGTAAAAACTTCCAACCAGCTCAATGCCTGGTGACAGGGCA
The DNA here is from genome assembly GCF_000001405.40 of Homo sapiens. Classification (NCBI taxonomy): domain Eukaryota; kingdom Metazoa; phylum Chordata; class Mammalia; order Primates; family Hominidae; genus Homo; species Homo sapiens. The sequence continues at coordinate 3,377,534 of NT_167245.2, read as the reverse complement.
GCACAAAGGAGTATTGGAATAGCCTGGGAAAACTGAGACTCACAGACTGGAGAGGAATAATCCTGGGTGTTAAGTGGCTTTCCTTACTTCTCCTACCTTGTGCTGCTTCTTCCACCTGCAATAAATCTCTTCCATTTCTTTTTCTTTTTCTTTTTTTCTGTTTTGTTTTGTTTTGTTTTGTTTTTTGAGATGGAGTCTTGCGCTGGCGTCATGCTGGAGTGTAGTGGCGCCATCTTGGCTCACTGCAACCTCCGCCCCCTGGGTTCAAGCGATTCTCCTGCCTCAACCTCCCAAGTAGCTGGGACTACAGGCACATGCGACCACGCCCAGATAATTTTTGTATTTTTAGTAGAGACGGGGTTTCACCATGTTAGCCAGGATAGTCTCGATCTCTTGACCTTGTGATCCACCCGCCTCAGCCTCCCAAAGTGCTGGGATTACAGGCATGAGCCACCGTGCCCGGCAGTCTCTTCCATTTCTGCATATCAAATTTGCGGCCCTCTTTCAAGTCTCAACTCTCTGAAGCCATCCATGAGGTATTTTCAGATCAACCCCAGTTGAAAATAACTCCCCTGCCACTTATCACTTTTTCCTTTGCATCTGGAGCATTGGCTAATCTGACTTTTCACTCTCATTAGATTACTGGTGGGGATTCTCCGTATTTGTCTCCATATTTCACTGGCAAATTCTGGGTATTCAATAAGGGCTACTGAATGAATAAGAAAAAAATTCTACTTCATCCATTTAGAGGGCAAGCATCATATGCTCTGTGTGCAGGAACAAGATGAAACAACCACTAGCTGGCAAACTACCTCAAGCCAGCTCCTGAACCTCTCCTTGGGTTCTGCCTCAGGTTAACTCTTTTTTTTTTTTTTTTTTTTTTTTTTTAAAAGACAGGGTCTCACTCTGTTGCCCAGGCTGGGGTACAGTGGTGTGATCCTAGCTCACTGCAGTCTCAACTCCTGGGCTCAAGTAATCCTTCCGCCTTAGCCTCCTGAATAGCTAGGACTACAGGTGCACCACCCTGCCTAGCTAATTTTTATTTTGTAGAGGCAGGGTCTCTATGTTGCCCAGGCTTCAGGTTAGGTCTTGAATGAAGGCAAACAATGCCCTTCTGGGATAGAACAAGGAGAATAACAGAGTATGGCCAGTTTCTCTGAGCCATCTTAGAAGGGGAGGACCCAGAAAAAAGGAAGGAGGGAAGTGACTCCAGGTAAGATGTAAATATATTTGCAGGTAAATCCCCAGAAACTTGTCAAATATGGTTTCCCGCAGTCCAATTTTCTTCACTTAAAGGAGTGGAGAATTGTTCCAAAATGGAGTTAACATTCTGCAATCATAGAGAGCAGAATTATTGCCCTCCTCCCAAGTTCTTGCATTCTCCTAGATGTCTCTTTGACCTTTTTTTTTTTTTTTGAGACGGAGTTTCACACTATTGCCCAGGTTGGAGTGCAATGGTGTGATCCTGGCTCACTGCAACCTCTGCCTCCCAGGTTCAAGCGATTCTCCTGCCTCAGCCTCCCAAGTAGCTGGGATTACAGGCGCCCGCTACCACACCTGGCTAATTTTTATATTTTATTAGTAGAGATGGGGTTTTACAATGTTGACCAGGCTGGTCTCGAACTCCTGACCTCATGTGATCTGCCCGCCTTGGCCTCCCAAAGTGCTGGGATTACAGGCGTGAGCCACTGCACCTGGCCCTCTTTGACCTTCTTAACCCAGAGTCTCACTTTTCGAGAGGTTTCTGTGTAGCAAGACGGGGTAAGTATGTCCCATTTGCATTCACACGATTTCTGGAGGTATTGGTGATGTTGGTCCCTGCAACACCAAAGGAAGAGAGGGAGCAGAGGACAATTTGTAGTGACAAGAAGAGACTGGATCCAGTCCCTTGGGGAAGAAGATTCCTTTTCATCTCTTCCTCTCATGCCTGCTCATCTTCCATTTCATTCTCAAATCTTTAGGGGAAAGGGAGAGGAGAGAGACATTGCTGTTTCCCCACTTTCCAGTCCAAGCATCTATCCCAACAGATAAGCAAATTTCACTTGTCATCCTCTTTATGTATCTTTCTCAAATGTCTTGTTCTCTAGCCAGGCTTAAGGATATAATCTTCCTGGTTTGTGGCTCTCTTTCGTCTTGATTCCTTGATGACTGCCTCCAAAGAGCTGAGCTCTGGCACAATTAGACTTGAGGGAGATAGTGTGAGTCAGTCAACAAGCATGTAGTATCTACACTTTGGGGGAGAGCCTATACTCTTTCTTATTTCTTTTTTTACAAATTATTATTTTGAGACAGAATTTCTCAAATTCCTTTCTACCTCAGGAAAGGAAAGGAAATTGGATAAGGCGACTTTGTCGCCAGGCTGAAGTGCAGTGGTGTGATCTCGGCTCACTGCAACCTCTGCCTCCCGGGTTCAAGCGATTCTCCTGCCTCAGCCTCCTAAGTAGCTGAGACTACAGGCACACACCTCCACACCAGCCTAATTTTTGTATTTTTAGTAAAGACGGGGTTTCACCATGTTGGCCCGACTGGTCTCAAACTCCTGACCTCGAGTGATCCACCCACCTTGGCCTCCCAAAGTGCTGGGATGACAGGCATGAGCCACTGCGCCTGGCCACTCTTTCCTATTTCTGAATCTTCACAGGTTGTTGGTCCCTTCCTAGTCCTGTGTTTCTCAAGTTAAGACTAGGGGGAATCTACAGGTCCATGGCTATCTTCTCTGGGGAACTCTTCTAAAACTTTAAGTTTGTGCTTACCTCTTGATGGGCCATATTTTTAAAAAGAGAAATATTTTCATACATGATGATTTGGATTAGGTTTTTTTTAGGGGTTTCAATGCCTATATTTGTATTTGTGTTTATTTATTTATTTATTTTTTGAGACAGTCTTGCTGTGTCGCCCAGGCTGGAGTGCAATGGTGTGATCTTGGCTCACTGCAACCTCCGCCTCCTGGGTTCAAGCGATTCTTCTGTCTCAGCCTCCCAAGTAGCTGGGACTATAGGCGTGTGCCACCACGCCAGGCTAATTTTTGAATTTTTAATAGAGACGGAGTTTCACCATATTGACCTTGTGATCCACTCGCCTCGGCCTCCGTGCAGTGGCGCGATCTCAGCTCACTGCAACCTCCGCCTCCCAGGTTCAAGCGATTCTCCTGCCTCAGTCTCCTGAGTAGCTGGGACTACAGGCATGCGCCACACCAGCTAATTTTTGTATTTTTAGTAGAGACGGGGTTTCACCATGTTGGCCAGGCTGGTCTCAAACTCCTGACCTAAAGTGATCCGCCTGCCTTGGCGCCGTGGCTCACGCCTGTAATCCCAACACTTTGGGAAGCCGAGGTGGGCAGATCACTTCTGGTCGGGAGTTTGAGACCAGCCTGGCTGACATGGTGAAACCCCATCTTCACTAAAAATACAAAAATTAGCCAGGCATGGTGGCAGGTGCCTGTCATCCCCGCTACTTGGGAGGCTGAGGCAGGATAATCGCTTGAACCTGGGAGGCAGAGGTTGTAATGAGCCGAGATCTCGCCAGTGCACTCCAGCCTGCGTGACAGAGTGATACTCCGTCTCAAAAAAAACAAAAAACAAAAAAACAAAAACAAACAAAACCAGGGAGAGAATTGTTTTGACACAAGTCTTTGGCTAATGATGAAACCGTCTCCCTTCCTGGCTGTCCTGGCATGGTTTTTATAGTCTGAGGCACAATGGTGAGAGCAAACTTAAGAGGGAGCCAAAGTGAGGTACTCAAGAGAGGGATCCTTCTTTCCTGGAGAACTGTGGTAGCCCAGGCTGTGTAGGTAGCTGGACAAGCAAGACTGAATCACAATAGGTCTCTACATCTTCTATTAGGAGGAGAACCTGCAACATCCAGTGGAGCAGGTCACACCAGTTATACATGTAAAATGTAGGATAAACTAAAGGGGCACAGAGCCAGGGGAGAAGACAATGGGATGAGACTGTTCTAGAATCTCATCCCATTGGTTCATTGCTGGGTGTGGTGGCTCACACCTATAATCCCAGCACTTTGGGAGGCTGAGATGGGATGATGGCTTGAGGCCAGGAGTTTGAGACCAGCCTGGTAAACACAGCAGACCCCATCTCTCTAAAAAAAAAAAAAAAAAAAGAAAAACATACGGTTTATGAACCAGCAGCATCTGCATTAACCAGCTTATTGAAATGCAGAATCACAGGCCCCACAACAGACTTCCTAAATCATAATCTGCAACTTAACAAGTTCCCTAGGTGATATGTATGCACACTTATGTTTGAAAAGCACTAAGATTTCTTGATGAAGGAGGACTTGAAAGGCAATGATGGATGTGAAAGGAAAGGTAAAGAGAAGCCTCAGGTAGTCACCCAAGGGACAGGGCCGGTTGGAGAGAGAGTCCCGAGGTTTTATCCTGGAGAACACCCTGTACTGAATGAGCTCTGAACATAAAGATAGTTAGCATAGGAGGGCCTGAAGTCTCCAGATAAAAGGCTGCTGCCACTATCATTTACCACGACCTCTGCCATTCTCCACTCTATTGTCATCCGCCCCCAGTCTCCATTCCAGGACTTCTCTACACTTTGACTTTTTGTTTGTTTGTTTGTTTGTTTGAGACGGAGTCTTGCGCTGTCGCCCAGGCTGGAGCGCAGTGGCACGATCTTGGCTCACCGCAAGCTCCGCCTTCCGGGTTCATGCCATTCTCCTGCCTCAGCCTCCCGGGTAGCTGGGACTATAGGTGCCCGCCACCACGCCCAGCTAATTTTTTGTATTTTTAGTAGAGACGGGGTTTCACCATGTTGTCCAGGCTGGTCTCGAACCCCTGACCTCAAGTGATCCCCCCGCCGCCCCGCCCCCTCCCCCCCGCCCCGCCCCCCCCCGCCGCCTCGGCCTCCCAAATTGCTGGGATTACAGGCGTGCGCGATGCCCGGCTTTTTATTTATTTATTTATTTATTTTTGAGGCGGGAATCTTGCTCTGTCGCCAGGCTGGATTGCAGTGGCACCATCTCGGCTCACTGCAACCTCCGACTCCCTGGTTCAAGCGATTCTCCCACCTCAGCCTCCCAAGTAGCTGGGATTACAGGCACACGCCACCATGCCCAGCTAACTTTTTGTATTTTTAGTAGAGACGAGATTTCACCATGTTGCCAGGATGGTCTCGATCACCTGACCTCGTGATCCGCCCACCTCAGCCTCCCAGAGTCTCAGTTGCCAAAGCTGGAGTGCAATGGCGCGATCTCGGCTCACTGCAACCTCCGCTTCCCAGGTAAGCCATTCTCCTGCCTCAGCCTCCTGGGTAGCTGGGATATAGGCGCCCGCCATCACGCCGAGCTATTTTTGCATTTTTAGTAGAGACGGGGTTTCACCATGTTGGCCAGGCTGGTCTTGAACTCCTGACCTCAACCTCCCAAAGTGCTGGGATTACAGGCGTGAGCCACCGCGCCCGGCCCACCTTTTTTTTTTTTTTTTTTTTTTTTTTTTGTTTGAGACGGAGTCTCTAGTCTCGCTCTGTCGCCCAGGCTGGAGTGCAATGGTGTGATCTCGGCTCACTGCAACGTCTGTCTCCCGGGTTCAAGCGATTCTCCTGTTTCAGCCTTCCGAGTAGTTGGGATTACAGGCGCGCGCCACCATGACCTACTAATTTTTGTATTTTTAGTAGAGACAGGGTCTCACCATGTTGGCCCACTTTGACTCTTGAGCAGCCTGGCCAGCCCGACCGCGCCAAATTCTGTTCGATTCTGCCTAGTTCGGTTGCTCTGGCCTAGTTCAGTTGCTAAGGCCTGGAGCTTCATGGTTGCGGAGGAAATGATGTCACGTTCAATAGGCGGGCTAACCAGATTCCTCCCTTCTCCCGATTGGCTGCCAGGAATTTGACTAGATTCGGAGTCTCGCGGGCTCCAGGGTTAGTTGTCAGTATCTTTCCCAGTTGTTCCGCCCCCTACCCCCGCCTCCCGCACCGCGCCCCTCTCCGGCTGCCCTCTCCGTGTGGGGCAAGGCTCCGAGGGCAGCATTCAGTAGCCATTTAGCTTTGGAAGGAGAGGTGATTCGAATGGCCCGGCTCCTCCTGTCACCATGCTAGGCACTTTGGCCGCGCAGGTACTTATTGACCCGACCGGGTGTCCGTAGTTGGCGCGGCTACCTTAACCGCAGGGAATTGTGGAATTTATAGTTCTAAATTATATGTGGGTGGAACGGGGAAGCTGGAGCAGATTTTTGGAGGAAAGCAAAACTGGGGACTTTCAGGACTAGGGGCCTGGGTCTCAGAAGAATGGGAAAGGACGAGAAAGGAGTCTAAATAAGAACCCTGCTATTAGCATTGTTTGGTTTTCTTTTCAGGTGCTGACCTGAACCTGGTTCATCCCTTTCTGACCAAAACTGTTCACTCACCGTGGAAGGGACTAAGCATCCATATGGAGACGCCACCAGTCAATACAATTGGAGAAAAGGACACCTCTCAGCCGCAACAAGAGTGGGAAAAGAACCTTCGGGAGAACCTTGATTCAGTTATTCAGATTAGGCAGCAGCCCCGAGACCCTCCTACCGAAACGCTTGAGCTGGAAGTAAGCCCAGATCCAGCCAGCCAAATTCTAGAGCATACTCAAGGAGCTGAAAAACTGGTTGCTGAACTTGAAGGAGACTCTCATAAGTCTCATGGATCAACCAGTCAGATGCCAGAGACCCTTCAAGCTTCTGATCTCTGGTACTGCCCCGATGGGAGCTTTGTCAAGAAGATCGTAATCCGTGGCCATGGCTTGGACAAACCCAAACTAGGCTCCTGCTGCCGGGTACTGGCTTTGGGGTTTCCTTTCGGATCAGGGCCGCCAGAGGGCTGGACAGAGCTAACTATGGGCGTAGGGCCATGGAGGGAGGAAACTTGGGGGGAGCTCATAGAGAAATGCTTGGAGTCCATGTGTCAAGGTGAGGAAGCAGAGCTTCAGCTGCCTGGGCACTCTGGACCTCCTGTCAGGCTCACACTGGCATCCTTCACTCAAGGCCGAGACTCCTGGGAGCTGGAGACTAGCGAGAAGGAAGCCCTGGCCAGGGAAGAACGTGCAAGGGGCACAGAACTATTTCGAGCTGGGAACCCTGAAGGAGCTGCCCGATGCTATGGACGGGCTCTTCGGCTGCTCCTGACTTTACCCCCACCTGGCCCTCCAGAACGAACTGTCCTTCATGCCAATCTGGCTGCCTGTCAGTTGTTGCTAGGGCAGCCTCAGTTGGCAGCCCAGAGCTGTGACCGGGTGTTGGAGCGGGAGCCTGGCCATTTAAAGGCCTTATACCGAAGGGGGGTTGCCCAGGCTGCCCTTGGGAACCTGGAAAAAGCAACTGCTGACCTCAAGAAGGTGCTGGCGATAGATCCCAAAAACCGGGCAGCCCAGGAGGAACTGGGGAAGGTGGTCATTCAGGGGAAGAACCAGGATGCAGGGCTGGCTCAGGGTCTGCGCAAGATGTTTGGCTGATTAAAAGTTAAACCTTAAAAGAGACAGGAACTTGTGAATTGTGGTCTGTGCTGTGAGATTTGGGGGTGGGGGGCCAGAGGGAAGGTTTCAGCCCATATCCCATTCTCAGCTTTTGGCTTCCTAGGGGAGGTAGCAGTGGTCACAGTGCGCCCCTTTTGAGGGGCTTATCTATCTCCGAGGACACATAGAAGCTGTCTAAACTAAACTTAGTAGTGGCTGGGGGAGATGGTGGACCTTAATACTGGGTACTACATCTCCCAGGCGCTTTATCACTGGAGCCTGTTTGGCGCATGCGCTTGGCGGTATGGCACTGTCTGGAAGTTACTTCCTGCTGCTGTGCTCCCATTGGGCCCGCCTACACAGTCATCCGCATCTGTTGATTCACGTGCTCAGCACCCAGGTCTCTTACTGGTCGGTAGAGCTTCCGGGACGCCCCCTTTTTTGAAAGAGTCAACTGATTAGTTGGTGATGGGGAGAGGCGGGCCTTGGGAACCGTCTCCTGGTTGGGGGGTGGGGGGGAAAGATGGCGGAGCTGATGCTGCTCAGCGAGATTGCTGACCCGACGCGTTTCTTCACCGACAACCTGCTTAGCCCGGAGGACTGGGGTCTGCAGAGTGAGGCACCGGGGAGGGGAGAGGGCTGTGGCAAACTGTCCCTGAGGCACGCGGGAAAGAAGCGGGGGCCTAAAGAGGAAGTCTGGGCAAATACGGAATCCGCCATCTGAAGGAGAGCGGAGCAGGGGGCTCGTTGTGCATTAAGGGGGATACAAAAGTCAGGGAAGAACTCTGCTCCCTGCTGGAACGTCGAGTTGTTCCGGGGTCGGGGAAGGAGGGGCTGAAGCGCCCTGGTTGTATCACTTTTCAAGTGGGCGGGCGGTGGGTCTGGCCGAGCGGAGCCAATGAGGGATGGGGCGGGGGCTTGTGTGCGATCTGTAGGCTGGGGCCACCGAACGACCCCCCGACGCTCAGCATTTCTTGCAGACAGCACCTTGTATTCTGGCCTAGATGAAGTGGCCGAGGAGCAGACGCAGCTCTTCCGTTGCCCGGAGCAGGATGTCCCGGTATTGTGTCCCCAGCCTTTCTCTAACCCTTGGTGGGTGGAAAGTGAGCCCAGAACCTGGACCCATTCACAGGCCATAACTCATCTGGAGTCACCCCTACTTTCTCATCCTTTCTCACACTCCTGCCCTCTTGTATCCTCCCTTATTTAGTTTGACGGCAGCTCCCTGGACGTGGGGATGGATGTCAGCCCCTCTGAGCCCCCATGGGAACTCCTGCCGATCTTCCCAGGTAAGGTAGTCTTTGTCGTTCCCTCAGATTTCCAGAAACCCTCATCTTCCCACTGTTTCCCAGAAACTACGTAGCTTCCTATATCCTCACGCTTCTACATAAGTGCCTATCCTCTCTCCTTCAATCCCCTATTTTTGTTTCTTCTCCCTTGCTGCGGTACAGGAATCCCCACCGACATGTCCTTGGGTACTTTTTGGACTCTTCTTAAGCTCTGCTTCCTGATAATTTCTAACTCCCTTTCCTCCAGATCTTCAGGTGAAGTCTGAGCCATCTTCCCCCTGCTCTTCCTCCTCCCTCAGCTCCGAGTCATCGCGTCTCTCCACAGAGCCATCCAGCGAGGTGAGAGAGCCATATCCCTCTTACTCTCTGTGACGGGGACTCTGCTTCATTCCCTTCACCCGTGGGTGACAAAGAAATGATTTAAATGATTTGTGTGCTATGAGTCATGAGGTGTGTGAGGTGTGGGGGGCCTTCTCCACTACCTTTGCCGTTTCCTTAATATCTTCATTTTCCACATCCCCTTTGGTTATCTAGCAGTGAAGATTTTTTTGTTTGTTTGTTTTTTGTTTTTTGCTTTTTTTTGAGATAGGGCCTCCCTCTGTCACCCAAACTACAGTGTAGTGACGGGGTCACAGCTCACTGTAGCCTTGACCTCCTGAGCTCAGGTGATCCTCCTGCCTCAGCCTCCTGAGTAGTTGGGACCACAGACACATGCCACCATGTCTGGCTAATTTTTTTTATTGTTTGTAAAAATGGGGTCTTCCTATGTTGCCCAGAGTGGACTTAAACTCCTGGGCTCAAGTGATCCTCCCACCTTGGCATCCCAAAGTGCTTGGATTACAGGTATAAGCCACCACGCCTGATCTTGGGTCTTTTTAATATAAAGAGTTATGTGGGGCTGGGAAGAAGAGAGTTATTGACTGCTGAGAATTCTGGAACTGTTCTTGCCCAAGTTGTCCACTCTGAGGCCATATTTGAAGTCATGAGACTTCATCAATTCTCCCAGAAATAAAGTAGAAAGAATGAACAGGTTAGAAAGATGGTCAGTACCATTCAGACCAGAATGTCAAATAATTGATGGCTTGTAAGCCCTAAACTTCTAAAGCTTTTGTTCTCGCTCTTACTGTCAACATCTCCCTTGTTTTTTGCCCTTCTTTCTGCCCCCTGCCCCACACCAACTCTCACCCAGGCTCTTGGGGTAGGGGAGGTGCTCCATGTGAAGACAGAGTCCTTGGCACCCCCACTGTGTCTCCTGGGAGATGACCCAACATCCTCATTTGAAACCGTCCAGATCAACGTTATCCCCACCTCTGATGATTCCTCAGGTAATAAAACAGCCTGCCCCCAATCCTTGGCTCTACTACGGGAGAATGTGTTATGTGTGTGTGTGTATGTGTGTAGATGGAGGGGAAGTGCAGGCAGCAGGACAGGGAGAAAAAGGTGGGGAGGGGAAATGGCAGAAAACCAGGAGGGAAGGCAGGAAGGAGAGGAAACATTTCAGGGAACCACAGCAAGGGCAGTGCTGAGGAGATGGATATTATTTTTCTCTCTTTTTCTTGTTCCTAGTATTCTGTCATGCCATTCAACTTACTTTTTAAAAACTTGTGAGCAGTTTAGGGCATATGTATCTGTGTGATTCCCCTCCACCCAACATTTTATTATAAACATTTTTGTTGTTGTTGAGACAGAGTCTCACACTGTCGCTCGGGCTGAAGTGCAGTGGTGTGGTCTCAGCTCACTGCAACCTCCACCTCCCAGGTTCAAGTGATTCTCCTGTCTCAGCCTCCCAAGTAGCTGGGATTACAGGCACCCACCACCACGCCCAGCTAATTTTTTGTATTTTTAGTAGAGATGGGGTTTCACCATGTTGGCCAGGCTGGTCTTGAACTCCTGACCTCATGAGTCGCCTACCTCCGCCTCCCAAAGTGCTGAGATTACAGGCGTGAGCCATCGCGCCCAGCCCATAAACATTTTTAAACATACAGAAAGGCTAGAACACCATATACTAAACTAGATTCTACAATTAACATTATTTGTTCTATTTTTAAAGTGTTCCCAAGTTTATTTACTCGTAGCTGTGTATTTAGTAAATGTTTATTGATGTGATCATATCTGAGGTATAATAATTATAAAAAAGAAATATTTATTAAGCACCTACTCCATGCCAGATACTGAGCAGCATGCTGGGAATGCAAAGATGAACAAGACCTGACCACCATGCTGACTTTCAAACCCTGTGATTTGGTAATGGGAGAAAGACAAGTACCAGTCAATACAGGTGTGGTCATTCTAGGATAGAAATCACTAGAGGTGGGGCTGGGTGTGGTGGCTCATGCTTGTAATCCCAGCACTTTGGGAGGCCGAGGTGGGCGGATCACGAGGTCAGGAGATTGAGACCATCCTGGCTAAGATGGTGAAACCCCGTGTCTACTAAAAATACAAAAAATTAGCCTGTAGTCCCAGCTACTTGGGAGGCTGAGGCAGGAGAATGGCATGAACCCGGGAGGCGGAGCTTGCAGTGAGCCGAGATCACGCCACTGCACTCCATCCTGGGCAAAAGAGCAAGACTCCGTCTGGAAAAAAAAAAAAAATCACTAGAGGGTACCATGAAAGCTCATAAGAGGGGACATTTCATCCACATTGGCGCTGAATCTGGGATGTGCCCCTGGAAGAAGGGTTTCCTGAGAGTTTTAAAGGACACGTAGAAATTAGCCAGGAGGACAGTGTGGGGGTTGACTTGTGTCTGAGGACCCTGCATTTCTTCAGAGTGGATGTAAGAAGGATTTGGGGAGTGATGTGGAACTGCAGGGGCTACAGGGCCAGGTGGGGCCCCTGCTAAGGGGCTCTTAGCTTTTATCCTGTGGATAGGTGGGGGCCTTTGGAGAATTAAGCAGGGAAGTAATATGATTAGGAAGATGATTCTAGTGGCAAAGTAGAGAATGGGTTGCAGAGGGGCAGGGCCAGAGGCAAGAGAACCAAGGAAGAAGCTTATGCAGTTGATCAAGTAAGATATTCGGATGTCATGAAGAAAGCAGACTTGAGAAAGAATGAAGTGGAATAGATGAGTTGTGACCTCCTGGACATTGGAGAGAGGTAGGAGTCAAAGAGGTTTGTGGCTAGGATGGCTGTGGGTGGGTGATGTTACTGTTCACTGGATGGAGACTGCAAAAGCAGGGGCTTTCTGGTCAGGGAAGATGATGAATTCAGCGTTGGACATGTTGATTCTGTTGTTGTTGTTGTTATGGAGCTTCACTCTTGTTGCCCAGGCTGGAGTGCAATAGTGGTGTGATCTTGGCTCACTGTAATCTCTGCCTCCTGGGTTCAAGCGATTCTCCTGCCTCAGCCTCCTGAGTAGCTGGGATTACAGGCATGCTCTACCACGCCTGGCTAATTTTGTATTTTTAGTAGAGACAGGGCTTCTTTCATGTTAGGCTGGTCTTGAATTCCCGACCTCAGGTGATCCACCCACTTTGGCTCCCAAAGTGCTGGGATTACAGGCGTAAGCCACCATGCCCAGTTGACATGTTGATTGTTGATTTCAAAGTACCTTCTGGATCTCCTGGCACCATCTCTCACTGGCTGAACTCCAACCAGGGAGCCCGCTGATGCAGTCCATTCAGATTCTCCCTGGATCTCAGGGAGCACAGCAGGGAGGGATGGAAAGTGGATTTGGAGGGACAAACAGATTATATCTAGCAGATTAATACATGTTATAAAAAAGATACACAAAATAAGGATTGAAATACCATTAGCAGGCCAGGCACAGTGGTTCACACCTGTAATCCCAGCACTTTGGGAGGCCAAGGCGGGCAGATCACGAGGTCAGGAGATCAAGACCATTCGGGCTAACACAGTGAAGCGCCATCTCTACTAAAAATACAAAAAATTAGCCAGGCATGGTGGCAGGCACCTGTAGTCTCAGCTACTCGGGAGGCTGAGGCAGGAGAATGGGGTGAACCCGGGAGGCGGAGCTTGCAGTGAGCCGAGATCGCCCACTGCTATTAGCAGCAAAAGGATTGTAAGGATTGTTGGTGGCTTTGCATTGCATAGTGTTATTAGAGTCAGATTCTCCTCCATACTTAGGTATTTTTTGAGGGCCTGTACTTTACCCTCAATGGACATGAGACATAGTTCTTGCTTTTGGAGAGTTTTGTGAGGGTTATAATACATCATGGTTAAATAGTTCCCTTTTTTTTTTTTTTTTTTTTTTTTGAGACAGAGTTTTGCCCTGTCACCCAGGCTAGAGTGCATTGGCGTGATCTCCACTCACTGCAACCTCCGTTTCCTGGGTTTAAGCTATTGTCCTGCCTCAGCCCCCCTAATAGCTAGGACTACAGGCACGTGCCACCATGTCCGGCTATTTTTTTGTATTTTTGGTAGAGACAGGGTTTTGCCATGTTGTTCAGGCTGGTGTCAAACTCCTGGCTTCAAGCAATCCACCTGCGTTGGGTGTCGGCCTCCCAAAGTGCTGGGATTACAGGCGTGAGCCACCATGCCCAGCCATGGTTAAATAGTTCTGATAGTGGTTATCTCTGTGTAGGGAATCTGAGTGACTGGAGGACCGGGAAGGGAAGTTTTTTTTTTTTTTTTTTTTGAGACAGAGTCTCGCTCTACCCAGGCTGGAGTGCAGTGGCGCAATCTCGGCTCACTGCAAGCTCCGCCCCCTGGGTTCATGCCATTCTCCTCCCTCAGTCTCCCAAGTTGCTGGGACTACAGGCGTCCGCCACCACGCCTGGCTAATTTTTCTATTTTTTTAGTAGAGACGGGGTTTCACCGTGTTAGCCAGGATGGTCTCGATCTCCTGACCTCGTGATCCACCTGCCTCGGCCTCCCAAAGTGCTGGGATTACAGGCGTGAGCCACCGTGCCCCGCCAAGATTTTTTTTTTGACTTAATTTTCCTTTGTTCGTTTGGATTTGTATCATGACTGTATTATCTATTCAAAAATATAAATTGAAGTTTTAAAAAGCAATCTTAGTGATCATATAATTAAGTACCAAAGTGAACGGTATGGACCAGAGGTAGTGGTGGACTGTTGACCTGTGGGCTGAATCTGGCCCTCAGAAGGGTTTTATTTCACCGACATGGGGCCTAGCATTTTCTTTCATGGAGTGATCAACAAGTCATAAAGGCAGATTTATTGGAGGCCATGGAGGCTCAGAGGTGACTGAGGCTTTGCTGTTTGGTGCCTGGGAGGAAAACTTGTGTGACGGGGCAATCAGGAAGCCTCATTTATGGCCAGTTAGATTTGGGTGACTGGTGAGGCATGAGAATGGAAGGGACCAGCAGGCAGCTTGGAAGTCAGAATCTGGTGCAGGTGAGCAGCCAGGGGGAGATGCACACTTGGCGGTTGTCAGCATGGAGATGCATTGGGCAGGGATAAGGTGGAAATCCAGCAAGATAGGAATTTGGGCCATGTGAATGCTGGAGACCCCCCTGCCACTTCCCCTGCTCAGGCCTATTCTATGTGAATAGACAAGTTCTGTGAACAAGAAAGAGGGAAACGCAGAAGGGCAAAGACAGCTTTGAGGAACATGGAGCAGGGATGAGAAAAATCAGAGGAGCCACTAAAGGAGAAAGGGAAGCACTAGGCGAAAAGCGGGGCGGAGAGCCAGCAGGTGAGCAGCTCTGTGACTGCCCCTCCTGGATGGCCTGTAATCTAGGGCCAGAAGAGTTTTATTTTCAGGTTCAAAGAGAAAGGACCCATTTCCCCATCTTAACCCTCTTTTTTATTTTTTTGAGATGGAGTTTTGCTCTTCTTGCCCAGGCTGGAGTGCAATGGCGCGATCTTGGCTCACTGCAACCTTTGCCTCCCAGGTTCAAGCGATTCTCCTGCCTCAGCCTCCTGAGTATCTGGGACACAGGGATGCGCCACCATGCCCGACTAATTTTGTATTTTTAGTAGAGACGGGGTTTCTCCATGTTGGTCAGGCTGGTCTTGAACTCCTGACCTCAGGTGATCTGCCCGCCTTGGCCTCCCAAAGTGCTGAGATTACAGGCGTGAGCCACCATGCCCAGCCTCCCATCTTAACCCTCTTAACCCTTCAGTGTTTACATGATATCCAGCTTTTGCCTCATCCTGCCTCCCACAGATGTCCAGACCAAGATAGAACCTGTCTCTCCATGTTCTTCCGTCAACTCTGAGGCCTCCCTGCTCTCAGCCGACTCCTCCAGCCAGGTGAGCACCACCTTCCTTCCTTCCTCCAGGTTTTCCAGTGAGTTCCTCCTGACCTAGAGGTATGAGAGCTTTCCCTTCTTCAGCTCCTTCTCCTCGACACTCTTCCTGACTAATGTATCTCTGGAATGCCCCACATAGGCTTTTATAGGAGAGGAGGTCCTGGAAGTGAAGACAGAGTCCCTGTCCCCTTCAGGATGCCTCCTGTGGGATGTCCCAGCCCCCTCACTTGGAGCTGTCCAGATCAGCATGGGCCCATCCCTTGATGGCTCCTCAGGTAATGGAGTCTCCTGACACTTGGAATCCCTAGTGAGAGGCCTTTGGTCCTGACATTTCTTGTTCTTTTCTCTCACCTTCCTTCAGGCAAAGCCCTGCCCACCCGGAAGCCGCCACTGCAGCCCAAACCTGTAGTGCTAACCACTGTCCCAATGCCATCCAGAGCTGTGCCTCCCAGCACCACAGTCCTTCTGCAGTCCCTCGTCCAGCCACCCCCAGGTACTGAAGAAGGAGAAAAGGGCCGGGCATGGTGGCTCACGCCGGTAATCCCAGCACTTTGGGAGGCTGAGGCGGGCGAATCACCTGAGGTCAGAAGTTTAAGACCAGCCTGGCCAACGTGGTGAAACCTTGTCTCTACTAAAAATACAAAAATTAGCGTGGAGTGGTGGCAGGCGCCTGTAATCCCAGCTCCTCGGGAGGCTGAGGCAGGAGAATCACTTGAACCCAGGAGGCGGAGGTTGCAGTGAGCCGAGATCATGCCACTGCACTCCAGCCTGGGCGACAAAGCGAGACTTTGTCTCAAAAAAAAAAAAAAGAAAAAAGAAAAACCAAAAAATAAAAATAAAAATTAATTAATTAATTAAAAAAAAAAGGCCAGGCACAGTGGCTCACGCCTGTAATCCCAGCACTTTGGCAGGCCAAGGCAGGCGGATCACAAGGTCAGGAGATCGAGACCATCCTGACTAACACAGTGAAACCCCGTCTCTACTAAAAATACAAAAAAATTAGCCAGGCGTGGTGGCGTGCGTCTGTAGTTCCAGCTGCTGGGGAGGCTGAGGCAGGAGAATGGCGTGAACCCGGGAGGCGGAGCTTGCAGTGAGCCGAGATCGCACCACTGCACTCCAGCCTGGTCGACAGAGCAAGACTGCATCTCAAAAAAGAAAAAAAGGAGAAAAGGAGGCGGGCTGCATTGACCCTGTCAGAGAGCTTGCAGCCATTGAGGCTGCCCAATCCTTGGGTGCTCTTGTGTGGGTGTGGACACAAGGACCCCACCCAGCGCACAGCCCTCTGACCTCTGCTCACTTGCCCCAGTGTCCCCAGTTGTCCTCATCCAGGGTGCTATTCGAGTCCAGCCTGAAGGGCCGGCTCCCTCTCTACCACGGCCTGAGAGGAAGAGCATCGTTCCCGCTCCTATGCCTGGAAACTCCTGCCCGCCTGAAGTGGATGTAAGTGTTGGGGAGGAGAGAAGTAGGGCGAGTGATGGGAAGGGAAGAGGGAAGTCTTGCCATAGAGAGAACTGTGGGATGAGGAGGGAGTCGATACCTAGGAGAAAAAAGTGAGGAAACGGACCCATTAGATCATTCTGAGGGTCAGAATGGACTCCTGTTTCTATATGAATATCAACTCCAGGTAGTTTTAGGGTCCTTTAGGTTTGCTGTCACTGCAGATGGAGAAATGGGGTTGGTCTCCATAAATTAAAGGCAAGGAAGTCGTACTGTACTATACGACTACGGTCATGGCCATAGTTGGGGAGGGAGGCTGCCTCCTAGGGGAAAATCAGGTAAACTGTATAAGCAGTATAACAAGGTTAAACTTTGAACCCTACAAATGTGGGCTGACAGGAAGAAAGAGTTACGAAGGAAAGAGTTTCCACCAGCATGGAGAAAGTTCTTCCCACACTCTAACCTTTCCCACCTCTGAGGAGCAGTAGCAGGGAATGTTTGAAAGAAGGGCCCCTTCCCTAGCGTGTTTGAGTAGAGAGGAAAAACCTCTCTGGCTATGTAGGTGGGTCAGGAAGGCAGGGGAATGGCCATGTGAGCTTTGGGTAAATCATTCCTTGGGGTTTGAGAGCATAGTCTCCTTCTGCCAACTCATCTGTCATTCTTTTTTGACCTTCCGGGTGCCTAGGCAAAGCTGCTGAAGCGGCAGCAGCGAATGATCAAGAACCGGGAGTCAGCCTGCCAGTCCCGGAGAAAGAAGAAAGAGTATCTGCAGGGACTGGAGGCTCGGCTGCAAGCAGTACTGGCTGACAACCAGCAGCTCCGCCGAGAGAATGCTGCCCTCCGGCGGCGGCTGGAGGCCCTGCTGGCTGAAGTAAGACCAGTCTGTCCCTGGGAGACCAACAGGAATACAGCCTCCTTGGAATGATTCCCCTTTTTCTTGTCTCCTTCTTTGTACCTTAGAACAGCGAGCTCAAGTTAGGGTCTGGAAACAGGAAGGTGGTCTGCATCATGGTCTTCCTTCTCTTCATTGCCTTCAACTTTGGACCTGTCAGGTGAGACCTTCCTTGCTTCACTAGAACCTTCCAGGTGGAGCCCACGTTACAGCCTCCTAGCTGCCTGCTTTGGCCCAGGCCATTTCCTTCTGCTTATATACAAATGGTTCTGGTGTCCTTGGCACCGATGATGTGTCTGGCCAGCCCCTTCCTGCTCCATTATTTGTCTTTTTTTCTTGGAGATGGAGCCTTGTTCTGTTGCCCAGGCTGGAGTGCAGTGGCACGATCTCGGCTCACTGCAACCTCTGCTTCCTGGGTTCAAGTGATTCTCCTGCCTCAACCTCCCAAGTAGCTGGGACTACAGGCGCACGCCACCATGCCCGGCTAATTTTTTGTATTTTTTAGTAGAGACAGGGTTTCACTGTTGTTGCCCAGGCTGGTCTCGAACTCCTGAGCTCAGGCAGTCTGCCCACCTCAGCCTCCCAAAGTGCTAGGATTACAGGCTTGAGCCACCTCGCCCGGCCTCCTGCTCCATTATTTTTCCAGTGGAGAGTAGATGATGGTGATAATGCTGGTAGAAATAGTGACTATTAAGTGCTTACTGAGTTCTAGGCTCTAGGTGATGCACTGTCTTTTTTGTATGTAGGGACCATCCTTATTCCCATCTTACAGAGGCAGACTCAGGCTTGTATAACAGATTGCAACTCAAGCAGTCCATCTGCAGAGTCTTTATTCTTACCTAGATACTTGATACAGCTGAAATTCTTCATTGTGCTCAGTCCTTCTTTATCCACAGCATCAGTGAGCCTCCTTCAGCTCCCATCTCTCCTCGGATGAACAAGGGGGAGCCTCAACCCCGGAGACACTTGCTGGGGTTCTCAGAGCAAGAGCCAGTTCAGGGAGTTGAACCTCTCCAGGGGTCCTCCCAGGGCCCTAAGGAGCCCCAGCCCAGCCCCACAGACCAGCCCAGTTTCAGGTGAGGAGAGAGAGAGAGGGCCCCCTCTCGTTTGAGGGTATGAGTTGGTCTTCTCCCCGCTTTCAGTGAGGGGGACCCAAAGCTTTCTCTTGCCGTCATCGCCTTCTTTGTTGTGGGAGTGCTGGGCAGTCTCCAAGTGTTGTCTCCTTCCTGCTTCACTCCAGCAACCTGACAGCCTTCCCTGGGGGCGCCAAGGAGCTACTACTAAGAGACCTAGACCAGCTCTTCCTCTCCTCTGATTGCCGGCACTTCAACCGCACTGAGTCCCTGAGGTGTGGGATTCATTGCTGGGGCATCCAGCTCCCCCGGCCTCCCAAGGCCTTCTGCAGTCAGCCTGGCTGGCCTGTGTACTAAAGCACCAGTGCTCCCTGCCCTCTCCTCACTCCTGTGGGTGGGCAAGGAGGGTGGGAATCTTGGCCTGGCATGGAGGTCCTGAGCTCCTCCATTTCCCCAGGCTTGCTGACGAGTTGAGTGGCTGGGTCCAGCGCCACCAGAGAGGCCGGAGGAAGATCCCTCAGAGGGCCCAGGAGAGACAGGTAGGGCGGGTGGCTGGTTCAAGGAAGGCCACTTGAAGACAAGGGCTAAAGGCCTTGTCTGGGGATTTCTAGTGGGCATCTCGCTGTGGAAGTTTGAGGGATCGTTTGAAGGAAGTGGAGGGTTGAGTGGGAGGTGGCATCAGCTTCCAGGGGCTGTTTGTCTCTTTCCCTTTTCCCTTCACCCTCTCCAAGTCCTTAGATACTTCTCCTTCCAGAAGTCTCAGCCACGGAAGAAGTCACCTCCAGTTAAGGCAGTCCCCATCCAACCCCCTGGACCCCCAGAAAGGTGAGTGTGGGGTGGGGTGCTTACTTATTAAGTGAAATTCCACTTTCAAGAGCTGTACCCCCAGTAGCTGTCCTGTGCCTGTCATTACTGTCACCAGTGGGATTATACCTCCCTCCTCCACTGGGGGTCTCCTGTCTTTTTCTCTCATCCTACCCGCTTCCCTGGTAGAAACTGAGCATTGGGCTTAGTTCCCCTCAAATCCTGTTTCCCCACCTGCCTAGGGATTCTGTGGGCCAGCTGCAACTATATCGCCACCCAGACCGTTCGCAGCCAGCATTCTTGGATGCAATTGACCGACGGGAAGACACATTTTATGTTGTCTCTTTCCGAAGGGTGAGTTTCTCCTGCCCTTCCATCTCTGTCACCCCAGGTTCCCAGCAGTCTGTCTTCAGTGGGGGGATGTAGAGTAGGGCTGGGGAGCTTGTTGGCATCTTTGCCTCCACCCTTCTGGCCTGGCCCATCTGTTCCCCAGGACCACCTGCTGCTCCCAGCCATCAGCCACAACAAGACCTCCCGGCCCAAGATGTCCCTGGTGATGCCTGCCATGGCCCCCAATGGTAACTCTTTCCCTGCTGGGTATGGGGGCAGTTCCAACAGGGAGATCCAGCCTGGGAGCTGAGGGGGAAGGGGGAGAGGAGCAGGGCATCCAGAGAGCTGCTGGACCCACAGGTGAGAAGCAGCAGGAAGTAGGTGGAGGGAAGAGCACCATGCAGGAGACTTGGGAGGGAGACAAGGGTGAGGGTCCTTCCCTGGTGAAGGTGCTTGGGTAGATGACTGGGCAGAGGCGGGGGGCCGGGAACCTGCTAGACTCTCACTTACTTTTTTCTCTTGATGTCCTCTCCTGTGTGACCCCACACTCAATGCCCTTTTCTTTTCCTACCCTCTCCTTGCCCCTGCACCAAACTCTGTCCCTGCCATCCTGTTTAACTCCCGCTATGGATCTGCCTCCTCACTATTGCCCTTTCTTTTTCTCTCTGCTCACCTCTACTTTTCTGACCTCCTCCCCTCCTCCCTGCAATCCCTGTTTGCCTCCCCATCTCCTCTTCCTTAACTCTCCCCTTCTCACAGAGACCCTGTCAGGCCGTGGGGCCCCGGGGGACTATGAGGAGATGATGCAGATCGAGTGTGAGGTCATGGACACCAGGGTGATTCACATCAAGACCTCCACAGTGCCCCCCTCGCTCCGAAAACAGCCATCCCCAACCCCAGGCAATGCCACAGGTGGCCCCTTGCCAGTCTCTGCAGCCAGCCAGGCCCACCAGGCCTCCCACCAGCCCCTCTACCTCAATCATCCCTGACCTCTGCCATTCACACTGACTTAGAACGGGGGGAGGGGGTACCAGGTGGCCAGGTGGGACTGTTTCAAATTTCCCTGATCCCCAGGCTTGGGGCAATTGGTAAAGGAAAGAGCAGGTGTGGGGGTTAAGCACTTATTTGAGGTGGGGGTGTTCACCTCTCTTCTCATCCCTTTTCAGAATATAGGGCTCCTCTCATTCCTGTGAACCCCCAGTCCCGGCTTCTTTGTTTGAGGGGATTGTGTGAGGTTCAGTTGTGGGGTGGGTGGTGAGCTGCTGCATATTTTTTATTTTGTTTCTCTAGTGTTATGGCAGTGGAGGTGGGAATTTAGTCCCCAGGTGGGACAAGGGAAGTTTTTTCATTTTGGAGCTAGTTACTGGGAGTAAGGGAGGGTGGGGTGGGGGGGAGTTCAGGTTTATGTGTGTGCATTTCTTTTTTATTATTATTAAATAAACAACTTGGAGGGAGTTGAAGGAATGGTGGCTGCCTTCCTGGCTCGTGATGGGGAGTTTGGGGGAAAGTGGCTTTTCCAGAGCCAGCATCAAAGAATCAAGCACTGAAGACATAGCTGGCTCTGAGGTGGGGTGGGTGCGGGATCACAGACCGCATGTCATCCCCTTGCCCCCACCCCTGCAACTCTGGGGTATATCTGTGTCTAGCAACGATGTCTCATGGCGTGACAGACTAGAGGATACGCATCCCTGGAATGTGAGTCAACAGGAAAGATGGGGCCCCACGCCCTTCAGGGTGAGCAGCCTCTGGGTCTCCTGCTCTCGAGCAGGTTCTCCCCCTCTTCTTGCTGTCCAGGATGAGCAGCTCAAACAAACAACAAGAGCTGGGGCCAGAGGCTCAGAGCCCAGGAAGTGGGGGTCTCGGTGAAGAAGGGGTGATATTTGGAAGGGAAGGGGGATGTGGCAGGATATCCTCTAAGCCCTAAACTGGAGGGGACTGAGACTTGAGAGTCCAGATGAAAGACAAAGACAAGAGTGGGGCAGGCAGAAAAAGCTGTACATTCTTATGTTTTTAATTTTTTTTTTTTTTTTGAGACGGAGTCTTGCTCTCTCACCCAGGCTGGAGTGCAGTGGCGCGATCTTGGCTCACTGCAACCTCCGCCTCTTGGGTTCAAGTGATTCTTCTGCCTCAGCCTCTCAAGTAGCTGGGACTACAGGTGCACGCCACCACACCCGGCTAATTTTTGTATTTTTAATAGAGATAGGGTTTCACCATATTGGCCAGGCTGCCCACTTCGGCCTCCCAAAGTGCTGGGATTACAGGTGTGAGCCACCATGCCTGGCTAGGCTGTGCATTCTAATTAGGAGGAAGGGGAGCAGGACAAAGTGAGGGATTGAGTCTGAGGCCAACCTGGAAGAATCCCCCTCCAGCTGCTCCTGTTCAGCAGTGCCTCAGGCCTGACCCTGCAGGAGTGTCCTGGGTCAGCTGGAGGGTGTGAGCTGGGCCTGGGCTCAATGCCCAGATGACTGGACAGGGGCTGCCTGGGCCATAAGCCCAGGCCTGAAGGAGGGAGGAAGAACCTCATGTGTCCAGCCAGGCAACCCCCACACCCCTCCCACTGCCCTCACCCATTACTGTGTTTGGGGTGAAAACAGACCAAGTAACTATGGCAACCTGGAACCAGGGATCCCAGGAACTAGACCTTTCCTCCCTCCAGAGGGCAGCCCAGCTTCTCAGCTATGCTTTCTATCCCAGAGTCCTTGAGCCTTATCCACCGTATCTCTGGAGGGGGTGCAGTGAGAACAAGGATTTTGGAAGCACATCACCTAAGCTGGATTCCCTACCCTGCCTTTCGTTAGTAGATGTCCTTAAACATTCTGAGCCTTAGTTTGCTTATCTGTAAGATGGGATGTTCCTACCTCCTAATCAGGGTTGATGACAGGATGAAAGACGACGTCCTCAGTGCCTGGTCCATAATAGATACACCTTTTCCTCATCCCTTGCCCCTTTCTGTCCCCATCTCTGTTGTCCTTCTCTCTTCCACTTTTATCCCATTTGGGTTCATTACTGTTTCGTTGTCCCATTGTCTTCCTCCTTCCTGCCCCCAGTTCGGGAAAGTACTTGAAGTGCTGGCATCTCAGGGGTCACCCTGGGGTGGGACATCCTGCTCCTCTGCTGATTGGCAAGGGACAGCTGGCACTTTGGTGTGGATGAGACATCAGACCTCTCTTGGCTGAGGGATTGTGGTGGCAGGAAGGATTGAGAAGGACGGTGAGTGGGTACCTGATGCAGGGTGAAAGCCGGGCAGGCTCTGGGCTGCTGCCTTCTAGGCCCATGTGGATCTCCATTCCTCTGGCCACACCCCCAAGTCCACTCAGCATGCCAGGTCGCTGTCACTCCTGCACCTCATTGGCCCCTCCTGCCCTATGCCCACTTTGTCTTTCTGTTCTGCTTTCCTTGTGCCACCATCTCCTTCATTTCTTCCTCAGGATCCCACCTTTTGTTCTCTCTCATCCCTGACCTCATCATCCCTCCCTTCCTCTTTCTAGACTTCTTTCCTGCCTTTCTTTGCTCTCTACCTCATTAGCAGTTATCACAACCTCTTTTTGAACCATTATTCATCACTGTTTTTTTCTTCTTTTGTATCTTCCCCACCCCATCCACTGCTTCACTGTCTTAAATTTTTTTTTTAATTTAAAAATAGAAGTGGGGTCTCGCTATGTTACCCAGGCTGGTCTTGAACTCCTGGCCTCAAGCAGTCCTCCCATGTTGGCCTCCCAAAGTGCTAGGATTACAGGCATGAGCCACCGTGCTGGCCTTATTTAAAAATATATATATATTTTTAAATTCACTGTCTTTTTCCTTTGTTTTTCTTGGTCTTCTCATCTGCTGCTGCTGCTGACCCTGTGCTTGTCTCCTCCCTTTCTCATGCCGCCCCCTTTCTATTTCCCATTCTGCTCCCTCGTCCACATTTCTTGCCCCTTTCCATTATGTCCTCTCTTTTCCCCCACTTTGGTCCTCTCCTCCTCCTTCCTTCCCCCACTCCCTTTACTTCCCACACCAGTTCTCCATCCTCTTCCCAGCTGTGGGGGCCAGCACTGGGGAGCCTGATGTTTGCCTCATCGTTCTGCTATGGCTTCTGGATACAGCACATCTGGATTCCGGGGCCCAGATGTGTGGTTGCCACAGCGACCTGGGTCCCTCTGGTAAATACAGGCGCCCACCCGCCTCAGAGCAGAGAACAAAACAATTGTGTGACTTTCTTTTGTCACGAGATAGAAATGTCCTTCCTCCTCCCTTCTCCCCACACCCATGTCTCTAGGCAAAGGAAGTTTTAAGGGTCCAAACCCTTCCTTCTGAGGCTCCCTTGCCCCCTTTTCAGCTGTAGCCTCTTAGTTCTCTCCCATCTTTCATCCTGCGCTCTGTCTTTACATTCTGTGTTCCCCATCCTCACCCGACCCCCAGTTCTCAATAATGGAATGTTGACCACCCCCTTCCCCATCTGATGCCATTTCTTCTAAGTGAATCTACACAATAACTGGATGCAGAAAAGTTTCAAAAATCTGGATTCTCCACCCTTCTTTGTACAAGTGCTTCAAAGAAGCCACTTCATTTGTTCCCTAAGTCTTCAATCCTTTCCTTTCCTGGAGTTGTTTGGGGAGAAGAGCGAATACAGGCTTAGGAATGAGAACACCTGGGTGAGACCCACCTTCACCACTACTGACTTAGCCCCTTGAACAAGACCCTTAATGTCTATGAGCCTCCGTTTCCTCAGCCACAAAGTGGGATTAATGCCCGCACTGTGTAGGAAACTGTTTTGTAAACGGAAGCCCGGCACAAGTGTTTTCTATCTTTCCCCTCTCTGGGACTGCTTTCTTGGACCGCAGCCCCTGGCATCTCTTGTTCCCCTGTCTTCATCCTTCAGGTCCTTGCCCTCAATTGCCCTTACTCTTATGTGTCTGCCTTCTCTCCTCCCTATCTTTCCTTTCCTTTTCTCTATCTTTCATCCCTTTTCCTCCTGAGGTCAGGACAGGAACTTGGAGGATCATTCAAGGAGGGAGGCTCAGAGCTGAAGACACAGGGACTGAGGTTACAGAGAACAGCCGGAGCTTGTGGACAGTTCTGGACAACACTGACCTTTCTACCCACCACCACCCAGACACCTCAGTGAAGCCAACCCCAGCTCTGACCACTGGGCTTCCCTGCCTTCACGCCTGGGCTCCTTACCCTTTCCCCCTCCTCTCTCCCAGTCCTTTCACATTTCAGTGTTGACTTGCATTTATTGGTCACCTACACTGTGCAAGGCTTGGTGCTTTTCTTACAAGATGTGAACATACAAGACATGAGCTTCTCCATGAGCCTGGAAACCAAAGGGTGAATCAAATGGTAAACAAAGATAATTTCAGAACCTGAAACTATATCTGCTAAGCTTCCAGTGGCTTCCCCAAATGCCTTATAAGCTTGTGTACATCTGGAATCCCACATTTCTCTCTGAGACCCCAACAGTGGGCTTCCAGAACATCCCAGGACCATCCTTCTTGCTGTCTTCTCTGAGGTCCCTGGCCACTCTCTGTGCCAAATGTACTTATGTTGACCATTCTTCCTAAATAATAAAGCCAGGACATAGGGCATAGGCACACGCGCGTGCACACACACACTAAAGGATATGACCATGGAACAGAAATCTGAAGGTGTCAGAGGAAATTCATACCCTGTGTTCTGCCCTCTGTGTGATACTGTCTCCAGACCCTCCCTCTTCCTATCACTGCAGGGCTCCCCACCTCCTGCCAGGAGATCCTTGGGAAGCTGCTACCTACTGCTGGCTCTGGGGGCTTCAGGCCAAGGCAGAGGAAGGAAGCTGAGCCTGGCTCTGTCCAAGATGCTGACTTCATCCTCCCCATCAAAGCCAGGAAAAAAACAGCCACACACACCCAGACACACGGACACACACGGGGACACCCACGCAAAAGCCCATGTGTGCCTTTGCCCTCGGCCACATGGAGCTTACTGGGCATCTGGCCACAGCCACATGCAGTGCAGGCACGCCCTGACCCAGGAACACCACACACCTGCCACCATGGGGATCTGACCTGGTGTGCAGACACCTGGGCCGTCACCCATGTGGCAGAATCAAGCACATATGGGCTCCCTCACGTACCTTTCACCCGTGACTTGGCCAAGTTACACCTCAGTGGTGAGGTCTGTAGCAGGATAGAGAGACCCAGTCCTCACTGTGAAGCTGGGGGTAGTGGGTTCCCACTCAGCTGGGATATTTCTCCTCTGTAGCAAAGTCTCTTTTTCAGCTCCTTGTCAGGGCAGCACATGGGGAGATGAAGCTAGGGAAACACCCAACAGACTTATGTGGGGTGTGTCTGTCTCCCTGTCCCCCCTGTCCTCTGGCTGTCAGTCTTCTGCCTGGGACCAGAGACAGCGTGTCCGTTTCCTCCAGCCCCTACCTCTCCCCGCCTCTGTTCCTGCTCCCCCGCAGCACCCAGGCACCAGCCCCCCACCCTGCTTTCCACCACTTCACCCTCTATTCAGGTGACCCACCCTTATATTTGCCTCCTGTCTCTAGCCCTTTCTTCAACCCTAAACCTTCCTCCTAACCTTCAGGCTTTCCTTCCTTGTCCGCCCCAACCCCAGCTTCCTCCCCAAGGCTTGTATGTCCCAGTGTTCACCCAAGCCCTTGCCCTGCCAGTGCCCAAGCCTCACCTGCTCTTTCTCTAGGGACTTGCTGAGGTAGGAGAATGCAAAGGGGGCAGTGACAGGAGAGGGACTGAACAGAACAGACAGCAGGAGTGGCTCGGGGACGGGATAAGCCGAGAAGATAGAAATGGTGGGACTGGAGCAGGGTGGGGACTTGGGGTCCCAGAGACGGTCCCAGTTGGAGAAAGAGGTTGCCTCTTGCCTCCTGCCCTCTGCCCCTGCTCCCTGCCCCAGACTGCCAGGGGAGAACTGGTGAGAGGATGAGGGAGCCAGCACTGGGTGATAGACATGGGGTGCGATCCAGAGATCCAAGCTAGAGCAGTGGCTGGGAAGAGATGGGAGAGGAGCATGGGGGAGGGAGGGGAAGGGGGCTGGCCATGAGGAAGGATATAGGCTGAGAGGAAACCACTGGGGTCAGAGAGGAGGGGCAGCAGGTGGAGAAATGGTGGGGAAAAAAGAAATGGCAGGAAGGGTGGGGGGTGTCAAGTTGGGCAAAAATTAGGGTGAGCTAAAAATGGCATAGGGAAAGGACGTGGGAGGTAAGACCGGGGCTGGGGGTTGAGATGAGGGTATGGTGAGACAGTGATGCTAGACAGGGAGTGGGGGCTGGGGTGGGGGCAGGAGAAGAGGAGGGGTGGCATGTGGGAGGGCCTGGGAGGGGTGGGAGGACCTGCCCTATCTCCGCTCCCCTCCCTGACCTCATCCTGGTCCTCCCCTTCTCCTCCCCTGCTCGCTGCAGACTCCCTCCTCACTGTCGCTGCCGAGATCCACAGTCGGTTGTGGCTCAGCCCCTGTTGCAGGGGACAAGTGAGGGAGACTTCCCTGTCCTGCCCTGAGACGCCGCCCTCCCGGGGTTGGGGACAGAGCAGGTGCAGAGGCACTGCAGCTGCTCGGTTGCCCAGGTAAGGAACAGAGTTCTGGGGAGACCCAGAAGGAGAGGCAAGGGATTTCTCGCCTATCCCCATGCCCCAGGTGAAGGTGTGGCAGGTGAGCTCTCAGCAGTGCTTCCAGAGCAAGGACTTCTGTTCAGGACAGAGGACATAGGAGCATTCGCTGGGAACCAGGCTCCCTGTGAAGGAGTGTCTGGGAGGAGAGGGTGGTATGTGTGTGTTGGGGTGGGCAGTATGTGTCAGGGTTTGGATGGGATGCAGACAACTGAGAGGGGCTGGGAACAAACCGAGGGACTCCGGGAGTCAGATGGTGGAACCAGGGTAGAGGTGGTTATTGGTGAGGTGAGCCCCTGGGCCCTGGAGGTGCTGGGGCTAGCGGGAAGATAGGACTAGGCTGAACTGGTGGCCAGCTGAACCTTGGAAGGAAAGTGCTTGCGGAATCCCAAATGTCGGGCTAGAGCAGCTGAGCCTAGGCTCTGGGGGCTCCAGGCTCCAGGAGGTGCCAGAGGGTGCTTCTTTGGGCATCCAAATGGGGACTCCCTAGGTGGCAGCGTGAGAGTTGCAGGGAGGGAGGTCTGGGAGATCTCTTTAGGAAATACTGAAATGGGACAGTCAGGACTCGGGTCTGGGACGTGCACAGAGCCTGCAGAGAGGATCCTAAAACTTGTTCTTGGCCAGAGCTCTGCACTCATGACTCACGGTTCAGCAGGGCTGGGATGGCTGAGAGATGCCTCTGGGGGCACAGGGGCTCCGTCTTCACTCTGTGCCCCTTCCAGGCTCCCCTTGCCTCTGTCTGTCTGAACCCGCACTCTCCCTCACCTCGCCGCCCCCGCCCCCCACCACCAGTACACGTGACACGCCCCGGGTGGGAAGGGCGGGCCCCTTATCTCGCCTGGAAAGAATTTAATGGCATAGAAACAACTGGAAGTGGAACTGAGAGGAACTACTGGGAAGCAACTCGGAAACACCACAGCTGCTGCCTGCCCTGCCCCTGCTTCCCGCATCTCCAGCCCCTCCTCTTTTCCCTGACCCTGCCTTCAAGTCCCTGGGGACCCAGCACCTCAATTCCTCAAACTTCCTTTGCTCACTCCAGACCTAGCCACTAGGTGCAGGACCAGAAACTGCCTTCCTGTCTCTCATTGCACCCCTAACCATTTTCAGCTGGGGCCTGGAAATCCTTTCTCTTAATTTTTCCATTCCCAGGCCGATTAGCTCCCCAGAATAAGGGGTATCTGGATTCCCCAACCTACCCCTCCCTGACACCTCCTTCCTACCTGGTTCCAGCCCAATATCTGAGACCCCCACATTCCCTTTTTAGTCTCACTCCTAGAATCCTTCTACCTTCACCTCTCATTGCCAGATTCAACTGAGGGTGTAGCAGGAGGGTCAGAGGGAGGCATGGGGGCGGGACCAGAACCCCCATCTGTGGAACATCTTTTATGGAAGCCAGCCCCTCTCCCCACCCCTTGGGACCTATACAGTCCCTAATGAGCAAAGTGTCAAAGTTGGCTACAACACAAAATACCCAGGAAGCTGAGTCACAGTTTGGGAAGATGCCCCCATCCCTGCCAGCCCTCCAACTGTGGGGAGGGTGCCAAGAGGGTGAGGCCATATCTCTCTCCAAACACACACTACAGAGAACCACCCCAGACATAGTGGCAGGGGGAATGGTGAAGGGGAGACACAAGAGACACCCAATTCTTTGCTTGCCCAGTACCGAGAGAAGAGCAGAATTATCCCAGGAGCTGGAATGGGGAGCTGGAGGGCTGGGTGGTGGCAACAGGGCAGGGAGGGAGATTGGGAAGGAGCCTCTGGGTGTGTGGTCAATGGAGGCTGCTCTGCTCTTCTAGACCAATCTCACCAGCTTTCCAGAAAAGCTGGTGAGCTCTCTTCACTCCTTCCTGGTGCAAAGACCCTCTCTGCTTTCCCCCACTGTGCAGGGAAAGATGAGGAATCCACTTATTTGGGGAGGGGCACTGGACAACTCACAGAGGCCTCCAGGGGTACGGGGAAGTATGGTGGAGGCCATGTGTCCGCTGCTTCCCACTGGGAAGGGCCTCCTGCTTTGTTCCTCTCACACCATCCAGGTTCTTTCACTCACAGAGCTGCCCTCGGAGCCAACAAGAAATCAGCCTTCTTAGGCATCACCCAATGACTAGGTGTGGGGGAAACCTGAAGGGGAGATTGGGTGTGTGTGCACGTGTGTGCATGGGCACCCATATGTGTACCTACAAGGATGCAGGTTTTGGGGGTGGATTTGTGTGTCTGTGCAGGTATGTTTGTACTTGTGGATGAGCACACATTAATATATTTGTAAGTGTACATGTGTACACATCTTTGTGCAAGCATTCCCAGGGTGTGGGAGTGATTAGCATGGCCTTAGACACAAAGTGACAGGATTTGAGGGTCGGTCAGAGCCCATCTCTTACCCAAGGCTACACTCCAGGCTGAGAGAAGGGCTGGGGAGACAGGAAAGGGCAGCTCTCTGTATGCCAGGCCTCTCGGCCTGGGCTTTCTTGGGTGGGGAGCCTCTTGGTGTGGAAACACTCTGTCCCTGTTCAGCTCCCTTTCCGTCTCTTGCTGGCTGGTAGCAGAATGTGATGGCTGGTAGCCCCAATTACTCCTTTTTCTCTGATCCAGGAGAAAAGTTTAAGAGTAGAAAGCCAGAAGATGTGTGCGTGTTGGGTGGAGGTGTGTGTGTGTCACAGTCACCTCCGCCTACCAGTGACACATCCCCCACTCCTCACCGGTCAGCATTTCCACACCCACCCTGCCCTCCTCCTTTCCCCAGCCTCTGGTCTGGAAGAGCTGGGCACCTTTCAACATCTCTCCTCAACTCTTCACCCTAGCTGAATCCTGACTGGCCCCCTCACACTCAGGTTTGCCATAGCCCTGTCTCCTGTCTTATCCTGGGACCCCCCTACCACCTTTCCTCCCACCTCTTGTCTCTGTGTGCTCCCCAATCCCTGCCTCAGTAAACTCCACAAACACATACAACTGGGTAACCGTCATCCAGATCAAGAAACAAGACACCTTTAGCACCCCAGAAGCCCCCCCCCCCATGCCCCTACTAGTCACTACCCCCTCAAGAGTATCACACTTCTGACTTGGAGCACTACAGATTAATGTTGCCTCTCCTCAAACTTCACATAAATAGAACTGTGCAGCATGCTCTTTCCTGTGTCTGGCTTTTGTTCAACATCATCTTAGTAAGATCCATCACACTACTGCATATAACTATAGTTCATTCCTGCTTTATTTTATTCCACGGTGTGAATAAACCACAATTTATTTATTCTACTGATGTGAAATGTTTGAGTAGTTCCCAGTTTGGGGCTATTATGAGCTATGTTGGGTATATTCCTAGGAGTGGAATTGCGGGGTCATAGGGTTTGCATGTGTTCACCTTTAGTACATTTAGTAGATTCTGTCAAACAGTTTTCCAAAGTGCTTGTACCATCTGGTCCTGCCAGGATCTTCCCTGGCCTGGCCTCTGATTCTGCCTCAGCCCTGGTGGCTGTGTCTAACCAACTTCCAGTCCCAGACACTGTCCGTGGTCCTAGCCCTGACCTTGGTCCTGCCCTTGGTTCCAGCCTTAATGCTAGTCCTGCGTTTACATTGAACTTTTCATTCATTCATATAGTCGGTAAATATTTATTGAGCACCAGTTATGTGCCAGATGCAGGGATACAGCAGCCAAGAAAAAAAAATAGGTGCCATGCCTGCCCTCATGGACTTTATAGTCTAGTGGGCAAGAAAGTAATAAAATAATCTCACAGTATATTTATTATTACTTTGGACTTCAAAAAAATATTTGTTTATATATGATTGCAAATTGTTATAAACGCTACACATGAGAATGGCATGATGCTGTGATATCACATGATAGGAGGACCTGACCTGGTCAGGAAAACTTCCCTGTGAAAAAAATGGCGGGCTGAGACCTGAAGGATGAGAAGGCCAAGAGAGAAGGGAACAGTGTTCCACACGGATGGAACAGAGTATACAAAGATCTGGGGTTGGGGATGGGCACAGAGAGTATGAGGGACTTGAAGGTCAGTGGAGCTGGAATGGAGGGAGGGAGGGAAATGTTATGGGTGGTGAAGTGGGAGCAGGGGATACATGATGGTAGGGCTGTTTGTCAGTGTTCTAAGAGAATTTGGAAGGGAGACACTGAAGCATTTTGAGGATAGGGACATCCTGATTGCGTTTGTGAGACTGTAGAGGGCAAGAGTGGAAGCAGAGGGAAGGGTCAGGGCTGGACACAGTGGCTCACGCCTGTAATCCCAGCACATTGGGAGGCTAGGGTGGGAGGATTGCTTGAGTCCAAGAGTTCAAGGCCAGCCCGAGCAACATAGAAAGATCCTGTCTTTGCAAAAAAAATTAAAAATTAGCTGAGCGTGATGGCACACACCTGTAGTCCCAACTACTCAGGAGGCTGAGGTGGGAGGATTGCTTGAGCAACAGGAGGTCAATGCTGCAGCGAGCTATGATCGCACCACTGCACACCAGCCTAGGTGACAGAGTGAGACCCTGTCTCAAAAAAAAAGAAAAAAAAAGCAGCCAGGAGGCAATTGCAGTTGTCAGGCAAGAGGCGGATGGAAGCTTGGATTAGAATGAAGGTAAGTGGGAGAGAAGGAAATGAATTAAAGAGATGTTTATGAGAAAATACAGGTAGATACAAGGAAATATGGTAGCCTTGAATGGGCTATTAGGTTTCTGGCTTGTAAAGCTGGATGAATGGTGGGGTCCTGAGCTTCAATGGGGAATTCTGGGAGGGGATGGGATACAGGAAGGTGACCGTGAGTTCAGGTTACAGGCATGGTGAATTTGAGGTGCCCAAGTGGAGATGCCAAGTAGGCAGGTGGATATATTGCTGTGGAGCGAGAGGAAGATGACTGGGGTGTTTTACAAATTGGTGTATAGTTTGGAAATTGAAGTTATAAGTCTGGATGAAGGTACCAGGTGGATGACTAGAGCAGTAGGTCTATTAATTTAGTAGAAATTTGTTGCACATTACAATCATCTGGGGAGCTTTTAAAAATACTGAGTAAAATTCACTTACTTGGTCGTTCTAGTCACATCTCAAGTGTTGCAGAGCCTCATATCCCTCCTGGCTACCATATTGGTC
Source organism: Homo sapiens (assembly GCF_000001405.40). Lineage (NCBI taxonomy): Eukaryota > Metazoa > Chordata > Mammalia > Primates > Hominidae > Homo > Homo sapiens. Next base: position 3,345,427 of record NT_167245.2, on the reverse strand, counting down.
AGCGTGGATACAGAATGTTTTAAAAGAGAAGGGCCAGGTGTGGTGGCTCATGCCTGTAACCCCAGCACTTTGGGAGGCCGAGGTGGGCAGATCACCTGAGCTGAGGAGCTCAAGACCAGCCTGGTCAAGATGGTGAAACCTCGTCTCTACTAAAAATAAAAAATTAGCTAGGTGTGGTAGCGGGTGCCTGTAGTCCCAGCTGCTCGGGAGGCTGAGGCAGGAGAATCACTTGAACCCCAGGAGGCAGAGGTTGCATTGAGCCAAGATCGTGCCACTGCACTCCAGCCTGGGCGACAGAGTGAGACTCCATCTCAAAAAAAAAAAAAAAAAAAAAAGATGCGGTGAACTGTGTCTAGTGATTTTGAGAGAAGTCAAAGGTCAAGCAAGATGAAGACAAATGTCCCTTAGATTTTGTGGCACCGAAGTCATTGGGAAGCCCTAGAGGGAGCTGTTTGGTGGGTTGGAGGGAGTAGAGTGGATTGAGGCATGCATAGGCTATAAGGAAATGTAAACATCAAATACAAATAAATTTTGACAACTGTGGCCATGAAGTAGAGGAGAGAAATATGGTGGCTGGAGGGGGTGTGAGATTGGGGATAGGTTTTTTAAGGTTTCATTTTTTTTTTTTTTTGAGATGGAGTCTCGCTCTGTTGCCCAGGCTGGAGTGCAGTGGCACAATCTCAACTCACTGCAACCTTTGCCTCCCAGGTTCAAGCGATTCTCCCGCCTCAGCCTCCCAAGTAGCTGGGATTACAGGCACCTGCCACCATGCCCAGCTAATTTTTTTTTATTTTTTATTTTTAGTAGAGACGGGGTTTCACCATGATTGCCAGGCTGGTTTTGAACTCCTGACCTCAAGTGATCCGCCTACCTTGGCCTCCCAAAGTACTGAGATTACAGGCATGAGCCACCACACCCAGCCATGGTTCAATTTTTATACAGCAAAATGCCAAAGTCTTAAGTGTGCAGCTCAATGAGTTTTTGAATATGTATATATCTATGTAACCACCCAGATTAAGATACAAAATATTTCCAGAAATATGACTCCTTCCGGTCAATAATCCCTACAAGTAATCTGATCCTATCTTCTAAAAGCAAAGATTAACTCTGCCTGTTTTTGTTTGTTTTTTTGTTTGTTTTTTGACATAGAGTCTTGATCTGTTGCCAGGCTGGAGTGCAGTGGCATTATCTTGGTTCACTGCAACCTCCGCCTCTGGGATTCAAGCAATTCTTTTGCCTTAGCCTCCCAGGTAGCTGGGACTACAGGTGTGTGCCACCATGCCCAGCTAATTTTTGTATTTTTAGTAGAGACAGGGTTTCACCGTGTTGGCCAGGATGGTCTCCATCTCTTGACCTCGTGATCCGCCCGCCTCGGCTTCCCAAAGTGCCGGGATTACAGGCATGAGCCACTGCACCCAGCCTCTGCCTGTTTTTGAACCTCATATAAACGGCATTATTCAGAGTGTTTTCTTTTTTCTTTTTTTGGTAGCTCAGGAAGGGTATATAAGAGTATAAGAGCATTCTCTTTCTGTGTGTGATATTTTTTACTCAGCACTATGTGTGTGAAATTCACCCATGTTGCATGTAGCAATAGGGTGTTTTTTATTGCTGTATAGTATTCCATTGTATGACTCTGGCACAATTTATTTATCCACTTTATGAATGGACACTTGAGTTGCTTTCAGTTTTAGCTAATATAGGAATAAATCTCATGAACATTATGGTCTACGTCTTTTGGAAGAACTATGCAGTCATTCCCACCGGATATTTAGTTATAGATATCTGGGTTATAGACTATATGTTTTAGCAGATACTACCAAACAACTTTCCAGTGTTTGCATTAATATATGCTCCCACTTGCAACAGATGACAATTCCAGCTGCTTCACATTCTTGCCAATATCAAGCAATGACAGCCTCTTTGAAGAGGGACAAGCATTCTGGAGGATATTTAGTGGCATCTTATTGTGGTTTTAACGTACATTTACCCGATAACTAGTGATTTTGTGCATCTTTTAAAATGCTGCTTGGATCTGGGTGCAGTGGCTCACACCTGTAAGCCCAACTACTGTGGAGGGTGAGGCAGGAGGATTGCTTGAGGCCAGGAGTTCAAGGCCAGCCTGGGCAACACAGCAAGATCCCATCTCTACAAAAAATTTAAAAATTAGCCAGGCATGGTGATGCCCATCTGTAGTTCCAGCTACTCTGGAGGCTGAGGCAGGAGGATCACTTGAGCCCAGGAGTTTGAGGCTGCAGTGAGCTGTGATTGTGCCACTGTGCTTCAGCCTGGGTGACAGAGGTAGAGTTTATCTTAAAATAAAATGAAATAGGGTGGGTGTGGTGGCCCATGCCTGTAATCCTAATAACTTTGGGAGGCCAAGGCAGATCACTTGAGGTCAGGAGTTTGAGACCAGCCTGGCCAACTTGGTGAAACCCTGTCTCTACTAAAAAAAAAAAAAAAAAAAAGGCTGGGTGCGGTGGCTCACGCCTGTAATCCCAGCACTGTGGGAGGCCAAGGTGGGCGGATCACGAGGTCAGGAGATCGAGACCATCCTGGCTAACACGGTGAAACCTCATCTCTACTAAAAATACAAAAAAATGAGCCAAGTATGGTGGTGGGCGCCTGTAGTCCCAGCTACTCAGGAGGCTGAGGCAGGAGAATGGCATGAACCTGGTAGGCAGAGCTTGCAGTGAGCCAAGACGCACCACTGCACTCCAGCCTGGGCGAAAGAGCAAGACTCCATCTCTACAAAAAAAATGAGCTGGGCATGTGGCGCATGCCTGTATCCTAGCTACTCCAGAGGCTGAGGTAGGAGAATCACTTGAGCCCAGGTAAAATAAATAAAATGTTTATTGGCTCTTTGGCTATATTCTTTTCTGGAGTACCTGTTTGTCTTTTGACAATTTAAAAAACTAGGTTTCCTGATTTTGGCTTATTTTGTTTTGCAGAGATTTTTTTTTTTTTTTTTTTTTTTTGAGATGGAGTTTCACTCTTCCTCTCAGGCTGAAGTGAAGTGGCATGATCTCAGCTCACTGCAACCTCCGCCTCCAGTTTCAAGCGATTCTCCTCCTCAGCCTCCCGAGTAGCTGGGACTACAGGTGCCCGCTACCACGCCCAGCTAATTTTTGTATTTTTAGTAGAGATGGGGTTTCACCATGTTGGCCAGGCTGGTCTTGAACTCTTGACCTCATGATCCGCCCACTTCAGCCTCCCAAAGTGCTGGGATTTCAGGTGTGAACCACCACACCCAGCTGCCTTCTTATTCTCTTAATGATGTAATTTGATGACCTGAAATTTTGTTTTGTTTTTTTCTTTTTCTTTTTTTTGAAACAGAGTATCAGCTCTGTTGCCCAGGCTGGAGTGCAGTGGCATGATCACAGCTCACCACAGCCTCGACCTCCCAGACTCAAGTAATCCTCCCACCTCAGCCCCTGAGTAGCTGGGACTACAGGTGTACCACCACGCCCAGTGAATTCTTTTTGTTTTTTGTAGAGACAGAGTCTCACTATCTTACCCAGGCTGGTCTCCAACTCCTGGGCTCATGCAATCCTCACACTTAAGCCTCCTGAAGTGCTGGGATTACAGATACGAGCCACTGCACCCGGCCTATGGTTAGGTTTTGTGTGTGTTTTACTTAAGAAATCTTGCGGCTGGGTGCAGTGACTCAAGCCTGTAATCCTAGCACTTTGGGAAGCCGAGGCGGGCGGATTGCCTGAGTTCAGGAGTTTGAGACCAGCCTGGCCAACATAGTGAAGCCCCGTCTCTACTAAAAATACAAAAAATAGCTGGGTGTGGGAGCAGATGCCTGTAATCCCCGCTACTCAGGAGGCTGAGGTAGGAGAATCACTTGAACCTGGGAGACGGAGGTTGCAGTGAGCCGAGATAGCACCAGTGTACTCCACTCTGGGCGACAGAGCAAGACTCAGTCTTAAAAAAAAAAAAAAGAAATCTTGCTTACTCCAAGGTCAGAAATTTTCTGTAAGATATTGCTATGAAAGATATTGCTTTACTTTTCTTATTTAGGTCCTGGGTTCATCTCAAATTAATTTCGGTATATCAGACATAAGGTGGAGAATGACTGTTTTTTTTTTTTTTTTTTTTTTTTTACTTAGGGATGTTGGATTGACCCAGCACCAGGAACTAAAAAGACCATCCTTTCTCCTCTTAACTGCAGGGGCACTTTTGTCGTTAATTAGTTGACCACATATGTGTGGGCCTGTTTCTGGGCCCTATTCTGTTTCATCTGTCTATCCTTGCACCTTTAAAATAAGTCTTGATATTTGATCATGTAAGTCCTGAGGAAGAGGATTTTTGTTTTTTTTTTTTCAATTGGAGATATTTGAGCAAGGATCCAGTTGAGAGTGAGGAGTTGAATAAAAAAGAGAGAGAAGCCAAGCATGGTGGCTCATGCTTTTAATCCCAGCTACCTGGGAGGCTGAGGTGGGAGGATGGCTTGAGCCCAGGAGTTCAAGTCCAGCTTCAACCAGGGGGTTGAGCAAGATCCTGTCTCTATATTAGAAAGAGGTCGTGCGGTGACTCATGCCTGTAATCCCAGCACTTTGGGAGGCCAAGGCGGGCACATCACTTGTGGTCAGGAGTTCGAGACCAGCCTGCCTACATGGTGAAACCTCATTTCTACTAAAAATACAAAAATTAGCTGGGCATGGAGGTGGGCACCTATAATCCCAGCTACTCAGGAGGCCGAGGCAGGAAAATCACTTGAGCTAGGAGACAGAGGTTGCAGTGAGCCGAGATCGCACCACTGCACTCCAGCCTGGGCGACAGAGTAAGATTCCATCTCAAAAAAAAAAAAAAGTGAGAGAGAGAGGGAGAAGATAATCTGCACTTTTCTTAGAAGACAGTAGGAGCTGGGATCCAGGTGTTTGGGGAAGGATTGGCCCTAGGTACTCATCCACTAATTCATTCAACATTGATGTGTCAGATAGAACATTTATGTGCCAGACACAAGTATACAGCAGTCCTGGGATAGATGAGGTCCTTGTTCTCATGGAGCTCCCATTGTAGCATTGAGAGAAAGGTAATAAGTAAACTGATAACTCAGACAGCAGTAAATGCCATGAAGAACAGGAACAGGATATTGTGATAGAGAGTAATGGAAGACTGCCCTAACTGGGAGTTAAGATTTGAAGATGGAGCCAGCCTTTATGAGCAGAGTGAAGAGCATCCCAGACATAGGGAACACACAATGCAAAGGCCCTTGGAGTAGTGAGAGCTTGTAGTGCTCGTGGGAAAAACAAAAGACCAGTGTAGAGCCGGGTGCGGTGGCTCATGCCTGTAATCCCAGCACTTTGGGAGGCTGAGGCGAGCAGATCACCTGAGGTTAGGAGTCTGAGACCAGCCTGACCGACATGGAGAAACCCGGTCTCTACTAAAAGTACAAAATTAGCCAGGCATGGTGGGGCATGCCTGTAATCCCAGCTACTCAGGAGGCTGAGGCAGGAGAATCGCTTGGACCTGGGAGGCGGAGGTTGTGGTGAGCTGAGATCGCACCACTGCACTCCAGCCTGGGCAATAAGAGTGAAACTCCGTCTCAAACAAACAAACAAAACAAAACAAAACAAAAAAACCAGTGTAGGGGAACACAATAGAAAAGGGGGTGAGGAGCAGGGTAAATAAATGATATCAGAGAGGTAGAGAACAGACTTGCCCAGGGAGGGTATCCTTTAGGGTTGGGCGGAATGTGAATTTTTACATGCATGTGAGTTGGGTAGATTACTTGTGGGTGGTGGGACCGTGGGTATGTGCTGGAGAAGGGGGGATTCATTTTGTCTCCTTTTTGAAGCTGCTCTCATACCTACCCTTTCTCCCTGCAGCCTCCTGAATGATGCCAGCCCAGTATGCTCTAACCTCCAGCCTGGTTCTCCTGGTGCTGCTGAGCACAGCCAGAGCAGGCCCCTTCTCTTCACGGTCCAATGTGACACTGCCAGCCCCCCGGCCCCCTCCCCAGCCAGGGGGCCACACAGTGGGGGCTGGAGTGGGAAGCCCCTCTTCTCAGCTTTACGAGCACACAGTGGAAGGAGGGGAGAAGCAGGTGGTATTCACCCACCGCATTAACCTGCCCCCTTCCACTGGCTGTGGCTGTCCCCCAGGCACCGAGCCCCCAGTCCTTGCTTCAGAGGTACAGGCCCTGAGGGTCCGTCTAGAGATCCTGGAGGAGTTGGTGAAGGGGCTCAAGGAACAGTGCACTGGGGGATGTTGTCCTGCCTCTGCCCAAGCTGGCACAGGTGAGCAGGTGATCACAGAAGAGGGTGGAGAGGTGGGGTGGGGTGGGCATTGCTAGTCCATAAAGGTCCTTGGTATGAATTAGAAGAAGGCACTCCTTCCTCACCATGAGGGGTGTGGATGCAGCCCAGAACACAACTTGGAGAGCAGAGCTGGGCTACATGTCAACCAAAGCATATGCGAGGGCCCTGAGAGGCTGCATACATTACACATACTAGCAACTGGGAGCAGACATGGCCTTATGAGATGAGGCTAGCCTGGCTAGGGGCCTGCACATAGGAGCACTACATAGGCTCAGCCTCTCTCCCAGGAGAGAGACTGAGACTTGCCTCTCCCCTCCTACTCCAGGTCAGACAGATGTGCGGACCCTCTGCAGTCTCCATGGTGTGTTTGATCTGAGCCGCTGCACCTGTTCCTGTGAGCCAGGCTGGGGTGGGCCCACCTGCTCAGACCCCACAGATGCTGAGATCCCTCCCTCTTCCCCACCCTCAGCCTCGGGGTCCTGCCCAGATGACTGCAATGATCAGGGTCGCTGTGTCCGTGGTCGTTGCGTGTGCTTTCCCGGCTACACTGGCCCCAGCTGTGGCTGGCCATCCTGTCCCGGGGACTGCCAAGGCCGTGGGCGCTGCGTGCAGGGCGTGTGTGTGTGCCGGGCAGGCTTCTCAGGCCCCGACTGCAGCCAGCGCTCCTGCCCTCGAGGTTGCAGCCAGAGGGGACGCTGTGAGGGTGGGCGCTGCGTGTGTGACCCAGGCTACACTGGTGACGACTGTGGCATGAGGAGCTGCCCTCGCGGTTGCAGTCAGAGGGGGCGCTGTGAGAATGGGCGCTGCGTGTGTAACCCCGGCTACACTGGCGAGGACTGTGGGGTGAGGAGCTGCCCTCGGGGCTGCAGCCAGCGGGGACGCTGCAAGGACGGGCGCTGCGTGTGTGACCCCGGCTACACTGGCGAGGACTGTGGTACGCGGAGCTGCCCCTGGGACTGTGGCGAGGGCGGGCGCTGCGTGGACGGCCGCTGCGTGTGCTGGCCCGGGTACACAGGCGAGGACTGCAGCACGCGGACATGTCCGAGGGACTGCCGGGGCCGCGGGCGCTGCGAGGACGGCGAATGCATTTGCGACACGGGCTACAGCGGGGACGACTGCGGCGTGCGCAGCTGCCCTGGCGACTGCAACCAAAGGGGCCGCTGCGAGGACGGCCGCTGCGTGTGCTGGCCGGGGTACACTGGAACCGATTGCGGCTCGCGCGCCTGCCCACGCGACTGTAGAGGTCGCGGGCGCTGCGAGAACGGCGTGTGTGTTTGCAATGCGGGCTACAGCGGCGAGGACTGCGGTGTGCGCAGCTGTCCTGGGGACTGTCGTGGCCGGGGCCGCTGTGAGAGTGGCCGCTGCATGTGTTGGCCGGGGTACACAGGCCGGGACTGCGGCACGCGCGCCTGTCCTGGCGACTGTCGCGGGCGCGGGCGCTGCGTGGATGGCCGCTGCGTGTGCAACCCGGGCTTCACCGGTGAGGACTGTGGGAGCCGTCGCTGTCCCGGGGACTGCCGTGGGCACGGCCTTTGCGAGGATGGCGTGTGCGTGTGTGACGCAGGCTACTCAGGGGAAGACTGCAGCACGCGCAGCTGCCCCGGGGGCTGCCGAGGCCGCGGCCAGTGCCTAGATGGGCGGTGTGTGTGCGAGGACGGCTACTCTGGCGAGGATTGCGGTGTGAGGCAGTGCCCGAATGACTGCAGCCAGCACGGCGTGTGCCAGGACGGTGTGTGCATCTGTTGGGAAGGCTACGTGAGTGAGGACTGCAGCATCCGCACCTGCCCCTCCAACTGCCACGGGAGGGGCCGCTGTGAGGAAGGGCGCTGCCTGTGCGACCCAGGCTACACCGGCCCTACCTGTGCCACCCGCATGTGCCCGGCTGACTGCCGGGGACGTGGGCGGTGTGTGCAAGGAGTGTGCCTGTGCCACGTGGGCTATGGCGGTGAGGACTGCGGGCAGGAAGAGCCTCCAGCCAGCGCCTGCCCTGGAGGCTGCGGGCCCCGGGAACTGTGCCGGGCAGGCCAGTGTGTGTGTGTAGAGGGCTTCCGAGGCCCTGACTGTGCCATCCAGACATGCCCAGGGGACTGCCGTGGCCGAGGAGAGTGTCACGATGGCAGCTGTGTCTGCAAAGATGGGTATGCTGGCGAAGACTGCGGAGAAGGTGAGCAGGCAGCCTTCCCCAGTGTACTCTGGGACTGTGATTCTGTGAACAGGAGCCATGGGGAAGACCTGAGCCTGAGGAAGAGTGGAGGGAGAGCATGTCATTCCAAGGAGCCAGTGCCCACCAGGGGCAGCAGAACCACAGGGGTGGGGCTTTCCAGTGGGCAGGACTGGCCTTCAGATCTCTGAGGAGCAGGTTGGGGCCCATTTAGTTGCATTTAGGGAGATTCTGTGCTCCTGAAGATGGAGAGAAGGTGAAGGCGATCCAAGCCCCGTTCAGCCCTGTCAGCTATTCTCCACTAGCAGAGAGGAGTGGGAGTTAGGATGGGCCTCTTCGATGTCCCTGAGTAAAAGGGGCTGTGGGTGGGGGTGGTTGCCTTGTGCTAACCAGCTTTCCCTAACCCATTCTCTTGGGCAGAGGTGCCAACCATTGAGGGCATGAGGATGCATCTCTTGGAGGAGACAACAGTTCGGACAGAGTGGACCCCGGCTCCTGGCCCCGTGGATGCCTATGAAATTCAGTTCATCCCCACGGTGAGAGAGATGCCAGGCTCCAGGAGGGGACTGAGTGGGCAGGACAGGGGGGCAGGGCTCACCTCCTGGAGGAAGTTCCAGGTGATCATTGGTTGAGTCCAGATGGCTGGGTACCTGAAGCTGCTGTAAAGGCTTTCTTAGCCTGCTTGACACTGGGCACTGAGGCCTCTGCAGCATCTCCAGCAAGCATTGGTCCCACACAGTTGGAACACCTGGTAACAGAGAGCTCAGTACTTCCTGAGGCTGTCCAGTCCATTGTTGGTCATCACTGTTAGCTGTTATCATTGTTGCAGAATCCGTCTGCCCCTATTCTAGCACCTGTCCGTTGGCCCTAGCTGGGTATTCATCAGCAGCTGGAATGTTTTTTGCTTTCCCTGTGTCCTACACCACAGGCCTTCAGGTATTTGGAGACACCAGCCTGATGTCTTCATTCCTCAGGCAAAACCTCCCAGTTTCTTCGCCCCTTTTCCCTAAGTCTTTATTCTCTGAATCCTTTACCTTCCTGTGATTCTTGCTTTTTTCATGTGCCCCCAAAATGTGGGGACAGAGAGGGGCCCACTGACTTACTCTGAATTTATGGACACTTTTCTCAGAGCTGGCGTATAGCAATTTGTAGTCACACAAGCAGGCAGCTGTTTTGGTCATATTTGGTTTTTTAAGTAACTTTTAATTATAAAAGTAATATAGGCCCCGTGCAGAAAACTTAGAAAATACAGATTAGCAGGGAAAAAAGATGGAAGGAAAGAAGACAACATTCAACTATATACACTTTTTTTTTTTTCACCTAAATATAGGCCTTTGCATTTGGCCCTGTTCAATGTTATCTTTTTTGGTTTGGGCCAAGCTGTCTAGGCTGTTGCAATAATTTTGAGTCTGTGAACTTCATCTCCCACCTCCTTGTCATCAGTACATGCAAACCAGTTTTTTCTCTGTCTCCCTCCAACTTGCTCTTTTTTTTTTTTTTTTTTTTTTTTTTTTTGAGACAGAGAGTCTCACTCTGTGGCCCAGGCTCGAGTGCAGTGGTGCCATCTCAGCTCACTGCAACCTCTGCATCCCAGGCTTAGGTCATCCTCTTACCTCAGCCTCCCAAGTAGCTGGGACTACAGGTGTGCACCACCTTAGCCTGCTAATGTTTGTATTTTTAGTAGAGACGGGGTTTCTCCATGTTGCATGCCCAGGCTGGTCCTGAACTCCTGGGCTCAAGTGATCTGCCCGCCTCAGCCTCCCAAAGTGCTGGGATTACAGGCATGAGCCACCACTCCTGGCCATCCAACTTGCTCTTAAAACATTAGAGGGAACACCCTAAGGACAAAGCCTTGTGGTCACTTATTTGGGGCCTCCCTTTGTGCAGACTGGGCTTTTAAGATATGGTCGTTTCCCCAGCTGCAAATCTTCTGACATTTCTACCATCCAACTCATGTTTTCCTGCATCATCCCACAAATGCCATATGGGGTGTGGGCCATGTCATCCTCATCTTCATCAGCTTAGCCAGGACTCTGTAAAAATAAACAACTCCCTGGGCCTAAAGCCTCGGAAGGCACTAGGACAGAAGGGGACAGCTCAGAGGAACTGTCATCCTCACTCCACTTTGCTTTGTCTTGTCATTATGCTCCTCAGGCCAGCCCCCTACTATGTTCTGCCTCTCCTCACTCTCCAGCCAAAGCAGAAGCAGAAATCTCAACTTCGTGGCGCAACCAAGATAGCTTGAATTTTTTCTTCTGTTTAAACATCTTTTTTTGTTGTTGTTATAAAAATACTTTAATCACGAGACAAGAATTTGGCAACTAGAGAAAAGAAAAACAATTCCTGGCTGCTCCTCACTAAAACAAGCACTGCTAACATTTTAAAGTGTTTCTCCCACTCTCTTCTTCTCTGTATATATTATTTACATAGCTCTAATCTTGAAAGGGTGGGACTTCGAAAAGGAAGTTTCTTAAGAAATTTCAGGGAAAGAAGAATTAAAATAAACACTTGAGATAAGAGGAGCTTTTAGGGCAGCAGTTGTCTCCTGCTCTGAGTAAATAAATACAAACCGATCCTTGGTGTTGTCAAGGGCGCCGCTTTCCAGTTGAAGCCCTAGACTTTCTCCCTCACTCAGAGCCAGGATGGTGGTGCCAAGTTGGCCTGTGCCAGGCTTGGCCATGTTCTTAGCTCATCCATTCTGCTCTCGGTATGGGCATCTGTCACATTCTGGGTCTTCTCTGAGCCTGGGTGTGGAAAACACTCCTGTAAAATTGGTCCCCAGACACTCCTCTTGGGCCTGGGCTACCCACCCTCAGACCATGCTTTCTGCTGTCTGTAGCTGGTCCCTGGCATCGTACCTTCTGCCTTGGCAAGTGCCATCTATTTCTTTTCTTTTCTTTCTTTCTTTTTTTTTTTTTTGAGACAGAGTTTTGCTCTTGTTGCTCAGGCTGGAGTGCAATGGCGCAATCTCGGCTCACTGCAACCTCTGCTTCCCAGGTTCAAACGATTCTCCTGCCTCAGCCTCCCAAGTAGCTGGGATTACAGACACCTGCCACAATGCCCAGCTACCCTTTGTCCATTTCTGTGGGTACAGAGTATATTCAATAGCTGTCTGTCCTCTGGCTGCTGCTGTCATCCTAGAAGCCTATCTCTACCTCTTACCTTCCCTCTTCCCAGAAGCACTTCTCTCTCAAAGCCCAAACTCTGCTATTCCAGATCAAGGGACATACCTAGTTATTGGAATTATTTTTCAGAATGCAGAAGAAGAAAGTTTCTCCTCTCCCTGTATATGTGGCACTGTTACTCTGACTCAGTGGTTCTCAAAGTGTGTTCCCTGGACCTGCAGCATCAGCATCACCTGGGAGTATGTTAGGCATGCAAATTGTCAGACTCCCCCACTAGATCTACTGAGTCAGAAAGTCTGGGCACAGAGCCCAGTAACCTGTATTGCAACAAGCCCTCCAGGTGATTCTGATGCCCCTCCAGCCTGAGGCCCCCTAAGTGAAGGAATGTTGCTATTTTGCAAAGTGCTAGCTCCACTATGAATGTGAGAGAAAGCATGGGGAAACTGAGGGAGATGAGTTCCTGAATGAGAAAGAGGTTCAGATATTCCTTGTCTGGGTGTGTCCTGCAGCCTGGAAATCAGGGCTAGGCTAAGTGTTCACTGGGACTCAAAACCTCACAGCCTCAGAGAAGTTTTTGCTTGGGTCTAGTCTAAAAACAGCAATGAGGGTGAGATAAGCTCCAAGGACCAGCCAAGGTAGAGTTCATCTGGAGCCACGAGGTTAATATTGAGATAAACTCTAAAACTTCCCAAGAACAAAATCAGTGAAGCAGGCCAGGCGCAGTGGCTCATGCCTGTAATCCCAGCACTTTGGGAGGCCAAAGTGGGTGGATCATCTGAGGTCAGGAGTTTGAGAACAGCCTGACCAACATAGTGAAACCCCATCTCTACTAAAAATACAAAATTAGCTGAGCATGGTGGTGTATGCCTGTAATCCCAGCTACTTGGGAGGCTAAGGAAGAATCCCTTGAATCTTGGAGGCGGAGGTTGTAGTGAGCTGAGATCGTGCCATTGCACTCCAGCCTGGGAGACAAGAGCGAAATTCCGTCTCAAAAAAAAAAAAAATCAGTGAAGCAGCCAAGCTTTACCAAGGGGCAGAGCCAGCTGCCAGCATCTGTTTAGAAAGACTGCTTCAGGGCCAGGTGTGGTGGCTCACGCCTGTAATCCCAGCACTTTGGGAGGCTGAGGTGGGTGGATCACCTGAGGTCGGGAGTTCGAGACCAGCCTGACCAACATGGAGAAACCCCGTCTCTACTAAAAATACAAAATTAGCCGGACATGGTGGCGCATGCCTGTAATCCCAGCTACTCGGGAGGCTGAGGCAGGAGAATCGCTTGAACCCGGGAGGCGGAGCTCGCGATGAGCTGAGATCGCGCCATTGCACTCCAGCCTGGGCAACAAGAGCAAAACTCCCTCTCAAAAAAAGAAAAAAGAAAGCCTGCTTCAGACCAGTAAGATGGTGCTAGGAGACGTAGGAGACATGGGTTAGGTTGATGGACTTTCAGGGGACTGTTCCCAGATGGATCTCAGGAGGAACCAAGAAGTGTCTAAAGGATATATATAGGGAGAAGGAGAACTCTGGGGATAGGCTTGCCTCACTGAAAGAACCAGACATCATCAGGGAGCATCCAAGGTGTGTGTATTGCGGCTGTGGGGATGGGGTGGGTGTGGATAAAGAGAAAGAGACATACACACACACAGAGAAAATGAACAAATAAATTCTGGGAAGGGTAAGGATTTCATGGGTCTTGAGTTGAGGCCAACCCAAGGCTTCCTAGGCTGGGGTATTCTAAGGCAGGGTGAATAGGAGAGGGCTGGAGGTCCTATGTGCCCAGGAAAACTTTTCAACCCAGAAAACTGACAAAGCTTTACTTCATCCTCAACCCAGAAATCTCTACGTGGCCTTCTCATCTGGTTTTATACTTCGGTATTTACTATGTTGATTTCCCCACAGTTCTCTTGGTTTAGGAGAGTACCTTTTGAAATTTCCAATCCTACTTGGCTGAATGGAGGTGTCCCCATCACAGCCAACATAGCTAGGCAGAACACAGCATCCTTAGCGGCTGTCCTAGCTGGACAGCACAGCAAAATGTGGGGCTGTTAGAATGCTCACAGATGTACAGTTCCTCCTGTTTCCCCAGTGGTGGGCATTCCAGGAGACCCTGCCTGGAGCAGGGTCCAGTAGATTCCCTTTGGAGGCACCACACATAATCATAATTCCTTAAATGTACACTTGTAGGAGTGTTGTTTTCTCACAAGCATTTGCTAAGCATAGAGATTGTTGTAAGTATCTCATATATTCAAGATGTGGCCATACATTTAGCTATTAGAGTCTCAGCTACCTGAGGACAGGGACCATATATTTTATTTTTGTGTCTCCAATGCCCAGCATGATGCCAGGTACAAAATCAACAATCAGGAAACATATTTGTGGAACTTTGAGCAGGTGGTTCTTGTTTTGAGGAGCCTACAACCCGGGTGAAGAGACAAGAAAAGTCCCTCAAGGGAAAGGTTGTGATGCGGGTCCCACTCCTGTTACACAGCCATGAGCAGGCATCTACGAGGAGGTTCAGGGTGAGGCAGACCCTTTAAGGAGAAAGTGCAACTTGAAGGGGCATCCTTGATCTACTTCATTTGTTCTGACAGGACCAAGCTTAGGAAAAGGCTCCTCATGCCCAGGTAGTCAGAGTTGCCAGGGCAAAGCTGGAGGGAGAGTCCTGGTGCATGTTGGGTGGAATTCTGGCAGATGAACACGGGGTGCCCATGAGAGGGGACTCTGACAGATAAATAGGGGGTGCCCATGAGAGGGGACTCTGGGATCACACTGCTAGGGCCTAAATTCTTGCCATTTTCTTGGTGTTGGTGACGTTGGCAAGATACTTGTCCTTCTGTGTCTCAGTTTCCTTATCTGTAAAATGGGACTAATAGGACCTGTTTCGTAGGGTTGTTGTGAGAATTAAGTGAGTTCATGTGTGTACCTCGCCTAGAACAGTGGCTCACAAGGAGTTAGCGCTCTCAGCATGTTTGCTCCCCAGCTTGTACAGGGTCAAGTTCCACACAGTACCATGCTGACACTGTTTAGAATTGGAGAAAGAAGAGATAAGGGGGATTGAGCAGCAGAGGCAAGAGTGCCAGCCCCTGAGCCACCTGGTGCTCTCTCTCACAGACAGAGGGGGCGAGCCCCCCATTCACAGCACGGGTTCCAAGCTCTGCCTCAGCCTATGACCAGAGAGGACTGGCCCCTGGACAGGAGTACCAGGTCACTGTCCGAGCCCTTCGAGGGACCAGCTGGGGCCTTCCTGCCTCCAAGACCATCACCACCAGTGAGAGCTGGGGCTGTGGGGAGGGGTGTCCTGAGTGGAGATCTGGACTAGAGAGGGAATCTGCCCTCCGGGAGGGCAGAAGGAAGGGGCTGGATGGGGGCTAGGCTCTTGGAAGGAAAGATGATGATTGAAGAACCAGACACCCACCTGAGTCCTCCTCTTTAACCTGGCTAGTGATCGATGGGCCCCAGGACCTCCGAGTGGTGGCTGTGACACCGACAACACTGGAGCTTGGCTGGCTGCGTCCCCAGGCTGAGGTGGACCGATTTGTGGTGTCCTACGTCAGTGCCGGCAACCAGAGGGTGAGGCTGGAAGTGCCCCCTGAAGCAGACGGGACGCTGCTGACTGACCTGATGCCAGGCGTAGAATATGTGGTGACTGTCACAGCGGAGCGGGGCCGGGCAGTCAGCTACCCAGCTTCTGTCAGGGCCAACACAGGTATGGCTGGCCAGAGGTTAGGGAAGGGCCCTGGTTTCCCAGCCTTGGATCCTCCTCCTCAGGAGCCCAGGCTCAGGGCTCACAGACTCCTCTGAATGCTTCTGGCAGGTGTGTGGCAGTCTCGAGGCACCTGCTGGGGGCCTTGCTCTGTCCTGAGGCCACTGGGGAGACAGAGCCCTCAGATGCCTGGAGTCCTGTAGGAAGGTTACAGGTTAGCCTATGAAAGGAATGGCCCCAGGGAGAGAAGTGAATAGGAGATGCTGCCTGATCCAGTCAGTTAAGGGAGGTTCTTTTTTAAATTTAGGTACCGGGACAGGCCTTGTGCTGATAGATCTTGTGGGACTGGAATTAGGCAGATTAGAGATCATCAGTCCTGTTGACTTTTGGATTGGGATTGCTGGGAGGTGGGTCTCACAGCAGTGATTTTCCACTAAACCTCGAGGTTTCTTAACAGATACCTGGATATTTTTCTTTTCCTGTGACAGGGGGACACCCACCTCGCTGTAGCTCATGTTCTCTTCCCCGACTCCCCTTTCTCTCCTTCAGCTACAGGGCCCCACCCACGGGCTTCTCTCTTCTTTCTAGGGCACCAACAGTGGTGGGCTTGGAGGGGAATGGGGGGGCTGCGGGACACTGACCGATTTCCCTCCGTTCTCTTTCCAGGTGGGGCTGGGGCACAGGGAAGAGGCCTCTGGCTCTGGTGGGAGGGATCGAGGGAGGGGCTGCCGCGGGAAGGAGTGCCGGGAGGGAGCTGCCACTGACCTGTTCTCCCCTTTTTTGCCCCTGGCAGCACCAGGCCACTACAGTTACCCGGAGGTGCGCCCCCCAGCCCCGCCCCCCAAGTCCCGGCCCCGGCCAGCCCCAGCCCCGCGGCCCCCACGGCCCCCTTGGCCCTCGAGGCCAGCAGAGGAAAGGGAGGAGGAGTCCCCGCCCAGGCCAAGCCTGTCCCAGCCCCCACGGCGGCCTTGGGGCAACCTGACGGCCGAGCTGAGCCGTTTCCGCGGCACGGTGCAGGACCTGGAGCGCCACCTGCGGGCTCACGGCTACCCACTGCGGGCCAACCAGACTTACACGTCGGTGGCGCGCCACATCCATGAATACTTGCAGCGGCGTCTGTTGGCCGCCGCCCCAGCCGGCTCCCCCGCACCCCCGCCCCGCCACCCCCGCCCCACCGCCAGCCCTGATCCCGGCACCAGGAAACGGGACTCCAACCAGGGAATCTACGGCCTCTCGCCTGAAGGCGTCGACCGGGTGGCTGCGTCCCGCCACCCCAAGCCAGAGGTGCTGGGCAGTTCCGCCGATGGCGCGCTTCTCGTGTCTCTCGACGGGCTCCGCGGCCAGTTCGAGCGCGTGGTGCTGCGCTGGCGGCCTCAGCCGCCTGCAGAGGGCCCCGGCGGTGAGCTGACTGTGCCGGGCACCACGCGCACCGTCAGCCTGCCCGACCTCAGGCCCGGCACCACCTACCACGTGGAGGTCCACGGGGTGCGGGCGGGGCAGACCTCCAAGTCCTACGCCTTCATCACCACCACAGGTAGTGTGGGCTGGGGCCACGGGACACCTATCCCTTGTCCAGCCTCACCTGCCGTTGGAGCCTGCATTCATGAATTCCTCCCACTGCCACCCCCCACTGCCCCCTTCTACCTTCAGGCCCTACCTGGCCGGGGCTCCAGGGGGCCCCCAGGACAAAGCACGAGTCCATTGTCCCTAGAAGACGTCCCCACCCCAGGGTCCTGGCATCCATCCTGTGGATGCCTAAGGTCAAGGCAGCGCCTTCTTTGGGGTTTCCCGGGACACTTCCAGGATTGTTATTTTAGGCAATAGAGGGTGATGTGGTTGGGGCACCTGCAAAGATTCACTGGAGCAGTTTGAGTGGGCTGGGAATTGAAAACAGTGATTCCCGTTCTGACTCACTGTGGTGAGAGTGGCTGAAGACTGTGGTTAGTGGTTACTGTTTTCCACAATTTGGCCTTGACCTTGAAGGGACACATCAGAACTGCGTGGGGGTGGCCTGGGTGCCATCAGGCAGCAACTGTATATTGGGGAGGTGAAACCACTGCTTCTTAAGCTGGCTTTTCAGACCCCCTGGCTCACTTTATGCTGGTCTCTCCCACAGGAACGATGTCTGGGCTTGGGGAAAGGGCACCCTGTGGCTGCTGTGGGGAGGGTGGTGGACCTCTTCTTCCCCCATAGGGCCCAGATGCCACCTGACCTGGATGTCCACCCCCACACCCTCTCTCTCTTCCCACTGCCCACTCTCCTCTTGCATCCTCCCTCTCTAACACCACTGTCTTTCTTCCAGGCTTCTCACTGCAGCACTAATGGAAGCCACCTGACCACCACCCAGTGGGGGGGATGTATGTGGGGAGGGACATGGAAGTCTCCGGGGGCTGGAGGTCATGGAAGCCTTGTGGGGTGAAGGATAGCAGGCTTTATTTTACCTATTACCTGCCTGAAGCACAGGCCCGTCTGCTCAGGAATGTGGTAGATGGGGGTGTTTGGAGGATTGGCTGACCTTTGGGAGGAGGGAGTGGCCCAGGTGAGGGAACCAGAAGTAGAAGTAGAACAAGGCTCTTAGAGGCTGGAGGGCAGAACCTGGGGACTGGGGATTCCTTTCTAGTTCTCATACTGGACTCTCCTCTTTTTCTCACCCTGCCCCTTCCCAGGGTCCTCACCCTTGGGCCTCTTGGGGACTACCGATGAGCCTCCTCCCTCAGGCCCCTCGACGACGCAAGGGGCCCAGGCTCCTCTCCTGCAGCAGCGCCCCCAGGAGCTGGGAGAGTTGAGGGTGCTGGGCAGAGATGAGACAGGGCGCCTCCGTGTGGTCTGGACCGCCCAGCCTGACACCTTTGCCTACTTCCAACTGCGCATGCGGGTGCCCGAGGGGCCGGGGGCACATGAGGAAGTGCTGCCAGGGGACGTCCGCCAGGCTCTGGTGCCTCCACCCCCTCCTGGAACCCCGTATGAGCTGTCACTTCATGGGGTCCCTCCTGGGGGCAAGCCCTCTGACCCCATCATCTACCAAGGCATTATGGGTACATCTTGGACTCTGCTCAGATCAATATCCTGAGATTGGGGGAGGAGCTGGGGTTATTGGGACTTCAGAGGTAGGATGGATATTGAGGGGCCAGTGAAGGGCAGGGCTGATGTTTGGGGCTGGATAGAGGAGAAAAGGAGAGAAAAGGAATTGCAGGTTCAGCAGGAAGATGGATCGAGGGGGATCTTAAAACAATGATAAGGATGGGTGGGGAGAGGGGAAAGAGGCAGAGGTAAAAAGGCCGAGGGTGGGACAGAGATTCCAGGAGAGAGGCTGAAGGTCCCTGGCCCTCCACCTGCAGCTTTCCTTGCCCTGTCCCCTGCCCCCACTCTTCGGTTGCTCCTCTGCCCTTCCCTGCCCTATAAATCTTTCAGGGTGGGCATGGGAAGGCCTCTGGACACTGACCCTCAGCCCCCAATACCTCGTCCCTGGGAGCCTGGTTTGCAGTGGACAGCAGTCCATGGTCCCATCAGCCAGTTTCTGCTGGGGGTGAAGGCTCCTTGGGGCAGGGGGCTCCACAGCCATCAGGACTTCAGACATGGATGAGGTTTGCAGGACCAGTGAAAGACAGGTCCTGGGGTACCTGGCTTTCACATCCCCTCTTTGTTCCTCTCTGTGGGACCAGGGTGGCTGACTCATCCCCCAGCTCCAGGTCAAGCTCACCACTGGAAGAGAGGGTGGTAAGAGAGACAGCAGCTCAGGTGGGCAGAGGAGCTTTCAGACTGCTCTGATGCTGCAGCAGGGAGGCTTGAAACTCTCATTCAGAACCAGGGGGACCTGAAACCCCCGCAAAGATCCTGGTGTGCAGAGAGACCAAGACCTTGTGAGGGATGGAGAAACTGTCACAAGGGAAGAAGCAGAGATTGAGAGGGAAATGCCCCTCTTCCAGAAGAGCTAGTCACTGAGGGGTGGGCAGATAGAGTCTTCCGGGGAGGGATCTATCCAGGATGGAGTGAGGTGGGCAGGGGAGAGGGAAGGAGACACAGACAAGAGAACGGTTGAGTCCACTATGCTTTGCTTTTGCCTCTCAAACTCCAGACAAGGATGAGGAGAAGCCTGGGAAGTCCTCAGGCCCACCACGCCTGGGTGAGCTGACGGTGACAGACAGGACCTCCGACTCCTTGCTCCTGCGCTGGACGGTCCCCGAGGGCGAGTTTGACTCCTTCGTGATCCAGTACAAAGACAGGGACGGGCAGCCCCAGGTGGTGCCCGTGGAAGGACCCCAGCGCTCGGCCGTCATCACCTCCCTGGATCCTGGCCGCAAGTACAAATTTGTCCTGTATGGGTTTGTTGGCAAGAAGAGGCATGGTCCGCTGGTGGCTGAAGCCAAGATCTGTGAGTGACAGCAGTAACACCCTGCCCTCTGTACTGCCCTGAAGAGGTTTTCTCAGTGCTTTGGGAACCTGCTTTGGGAGCTCCGGGAGGCAGTGGTGCATGAGCTGAATTCTGAAGGGAAAGTAGTGGTGGGGCAGGCAAAGAGTTTGAGAAGCTCAGTGCAGCCTGAGGGAGTCACGGTGAGTAAGGTGGGGAGAGCATGGCCAGTAAGAGAATCACTGTTACAGTTTCCTCTGGCTGGAGAACAGGGCATGTGGGGGGTGCCAAAGGGCCTGGTCTCAGGGCTTCCTGTGCTGTGCTGAGGGGCTTGGGCCTCATTCGAAGGCCCCTAGAGGGCCTCTGAAGGGTAAAGTGGGAGAGTGATGAGACTAGATATTTATCTTGCAAATAACCGGGTGGCTGCTGAGACTAGCTGGAGAAGTGAGTTAAGAGCTGGTAAAGGCTAGCAGGGTTGATCCTGCCTATAATCCCAGCACCTTGGGAGGCCAAGGCAGGAGGATCGCTTGAGGCTAGGAGTTTGAGACCAACCTGGCAACATAGTGAGACCCCCCATCTCTACTATAACAAAAGATATTAGCCAGGCGTGGTGGTGCGTGCCTGTAGTCCCAGCTACTTGAGAGGCTTGAGGTGGGAGGATCGCTTGAGCCCAGGAGACCGAGGCTGCAGAGAGCCATGATTGTGCCACTGTACTCCAGCCTGGGTGCTATCCACACTCTGCACAGAGCAACACCCTGTCTCAAAAAAAAGAAAAATGATGATGGGTCAGCTGGGATGGTGGCAGTGGGGCTGGATGGGGGAGGCGAAGGAAAGCAAGGTGTACCAGGCAGCCCCCAGGGTTCTGGATGAGACAGTCCCATTCCCTGAGGCAGGGAGCAGCAGAGGTGGGGAACAACGCCTTAGATAAACTTAGATCAATATCTAAGAGACACTTACATAAATACCTTTTGTGCATTTATTGAGAGTCAGTTGTGATCAAGATGTTCTCTAAGTGGATCATCACACCCCATAAAGCACACCTGGGAGGCATGCCTACTTTATAGGTCAGGAGAATTGAGGCACCAGAGTAGTCGTGTGGGGTTGGGGAAGAGACAGGGCCACTGGAACCCTGTCGACAGCCTACACTCACAGCGGAGGCAGAGGAAGAAGAGCCCACAGGGTAGCTTGCGGAGTGACTTGCAGGGAGGGGCAGAACCAGGGAGGGTGCTGTCTGGACTCCAGGAAGGAGGGTGCGGTTGGACTTGTCAGATTCCGGAACAGTGATTCAAGGGCTACGGAGCGTCCACAGAATTTAGCAATGGCAAGGCCACCCCTGGCCTGCATGAGAGCTGCTGCCTGGTGGAGGGGTGGAGCTGGATCGGGAGGGTGGTGGAGGTGAGGACATGGCTGCAATCAGTGTAGACATCACTTTCTGGAATCTGGGCTGGGAATGAGAGCAAAGAGGGAAGATGGAGGCTAGAGAGAGATGCACACAGAGTGGGGGTGAGGAGGGGTGTGACAGTAGCTTGTTGAAATGCTGATGGCACAGCTGCTGGGGAGTGAAGGGTCAGTGCTGCAGGCGAGGGAGTCCATCCATGGGTCAAAGTTCCCAAAGAGGAGGAGAGGCCTGCAGCATAGATGAGGGAGGCTGTCCCACATTAAAACGCTTCAAGGATTGTGCTCTCCTCTCTTGGAGAAGAAGCCAGCTAGTAGTTAGGCTTGGAAGCAGTGGAGGTTGTACTGGGAAGATTTCCCTGGCTATGGAGATGTGAAAGGGCCTGGCTGGGCTCCCCTCTTTCTGAAGCTCCCTGCTGCTCTGGTTTGTGGTTGGAGGCAGAGCCACACTAGTCCACGCAGTGCTTCCATGCCGTTTGAAAGAAGGCACCCATTCCTTAAAGTGGACACCACTCCTCACCAGGGCACACAGCTCGGCAAGCAGAGTGCTGGCTGGATTTCAGTCCCTCTGTACTCCCTCAGCAAATGCACTTTTGTGCAGTGAACAACCTGCACAGCCTCACACAGCATTCCTATGTGGGATTTGGCTTCCCCATTCTCCTTGGACCTAAGTCTCTCCCTTCTCTCTACCCACTCTTCCTAGTGCCTCAGAGTGACCCAAGTCCAGGGACTCCACCCCGCCTGGGAAACCTGTGGGTGACAGACCCTACCCCAGATTCACTGCACCTCTCCTGGACTGTCCCTGAGGGCCAGTTTGACACCTTCATGGTCCAGTACAGGGACAGGGATGGACGGCCCCAGGTGGTACCTGTGGAAGGGCCCGAGCGTTCATTTGTTGTCTCCTCACTGGACCCTGACCACAAGTACAGATTCACTCTGTTTGGAATTGCGAACAAGAAGCGGTATGGCCCCCTCACGGCCGATGGCACCACTGGTGAGTAGCAGCCACCTCAGCCCCCATGTGACCCCTTCTCAGCCCCATGCACACTTCCCTTCAGCCCAAAACCAGCTGGGGTCCCCCAGCAAGACAGCTGACTCCAGCTTCCCGGCCCCACTCCAGGGCTGAGGGGCAGCCAGACTCCCCCGCACTGCTGGGCCCCTTCCATCCCAAGCAGCAGCTCCCCGTGGCCCAGAAGGTGTGTCATACCCTGGCTGTGTCAGGCTTCCCAGAAGTTTAGCACTCGAATTAATGGACTAGTGACCCCCCACCCCCCATAGGTGTGACATCCCGTCGAAACCCCAAGCCCCAGTCCCAGGCTGCCAGTTCAGCACCTGGCTGGATCTCCTTGTTTACAGCTCCAGAGAGGAAAGAGGAGCCCCCCCACCCTGAGTTCCTGGAGCAGCCCCTCCTGGGGGAACTGACAGTGACCGGCGTGACCCCAGACTCCTTGCGTCTCTCATGGACAGTGGCCCAGGGCCCCTTCGACTCATTCATGGTCCAGTACAAGGATGCACAGGGGCAGCCCCAGGCAGTGCCTGTTGCGGGGGATGAGAATGAGGTTACTGTCCCCGGCCTGGATCCCGACCGGAAGTATAAGATGAACCTCTACGGGCTTCGTGGCAGGCAGCGTGTGGGGCCCGAGTCTGTGGTGGCCAAGACTGGTGAGTCATGGCTGCCAGGCCTCCCTCCCCTGCTAGCCCCATCCTGTGAGCGGGACTTGGCTGGGGCTCCTTCCAGCCTCCCTCCATCTTCGCCTTCTCAGCTCATTTTGCCAAAGCCTCCACCCACTTCCTCCCGCACTGCTCTCCTGTCCTCTGCATGCCAGGTCCCCCTCATCCAGCCTCCACCTCCTCATCTCTTCCTCAGCCTCACTTCTTCATCTCCAAGGGCAGGTCCTATTTTCCCCCATTCCAAACACCTGGACTCATCCTTCCACCTGGGGCTGTCCTCCCCACAGATGTCCTCACCATTCGGTCACTGTGTTCTCACCCCTCAGTTTTTACTGGGCTCCTTCATGGTCTGGTTTGGGCCATGGTCACTTCTGGGCTTCTGTCACCTGCTGCCCACAACCTCCTGCCATTTCTGCTGTGTTCAGAGGTGGCAGATCCAAGTGACAAGAGCACCACGTTTCTCTAGCCTTTTTGCAGCATGAAGAGGACTCCTCTCAGCTCCCGACTCCTTGACTCCCAGCCCCCTTGGAACAGGGCAAAGGGATTGTGTTCAGCCCAGCATCCCAGCCTGTTCCTCCATGTCCCCAGCCTTTCCCTGTCCAGTGCCATTCCCCTGGCCTGTGAATTATTTGATGAGAGATAGTGTGGATAGTGGTTAGGAGCAAAGACTCCGGAGCCAACTGCCCGAGTCTCACTACCAGCCTTGCAACTTACTTCCTGTAGGACCTTGTGCAAATTGCTTAACCTCTCTGTGCCTCAGCTTTCCCTTCTGTCAGGTGGCTGGATTTCAGTCCCTCTGCACAGAGCTGTTGGAATTACATGAGTTAATATATGTATAACACTTAGAAAGGCCAGGCACAGTGGCTCATGCCTGTAATCCCAGCATTTTGGGAGGCCAAGGCGGGTGGATCACGAGGTCAGGAGATCGAGACCATCCTGGCTAACACGGTGAAACCGTGTCTCCACTAAAAATACAAAAAATTAGCCAGGCATGGTGGCAGGTGCCTGTAGTCCCAGCTACTCAAGAGGATGAGGCAGGAGAATGGCGTGAACCCGGGAGGCGGAGCTTGCAGTGAGCCGAGATCGCGCCACTGCATTCCAGCCTGGGCGACAGAGTGAGACTCCAT
Source organism: Homo sapiens (assembly GCF_000001405.40). Taxonomy (NCBI): domain Eukaryota; kingdom Metazoa; phylum Chordata; class Mammalia; order Primates; family Hominidae; genus Homo; species Homo sapiens. The sequence continues at coordinate 3,321,637 of NT_167245.2, read as the reverse complement.
CTCAAAAAAAAAACAAAAACAAAAACAAAAAAAGCCCACACACTTAGAATAGTGCTTGGAGCAGCAAAGCATTTTCAGAGTGAGCTGCAATTTCTCCCTGACTCTCTCACTTCCCAGTAATCTTTTTTGCTCCCCACCTCCCTCCCTTCCTCTGGGTTGTCATTCTTGCCAATTCTTTCCTCAATCTGCTATCCCAAAGTAGTCCCCCATGTAGCAGGTCACAGAAGGGCTGGTTTCCCTTGTGCCACAGTCTCCCCACTCCATGGAGCCTCAGCAGAGACCTAACTGTAGGGGGCGGGTAGGTGCCCACAGGGCTGTGATTCCAGAGCCAGCCAGGGAAGGACATGTCTCTCCTTGGATCCCACTCACCCCAGAATTTTTCTCCCACTCATGCCTGGAGCCCTGCCTTAGCAATTCATTCCTTGGGGTTAAAGGGGAGGGAGGGGCAGGGCTGCCTGGGGAGGCCACAGCAAGAGCACATTCCATGGTCAGATCCTCATATGAGGGGTGGGGCAGCCAGAGTGCCCTGGGGAGGGCACAGGTAGGAAGAGGCCTCACTGCCCTCCTCACTGTCTGAGGTCAGCACTGTCAGTGAACGTGGTTTGGAAGAACCCTCAGAGGCTTCCTCTCTTCCCATCTCAGCTCCTTTCTCAGACACGAAGGGAGACCCCTCACCCCCACAGAACCCACCAGAGCAGGATGGGGCAAGGGCTGTCTCAGCCTTCTCCATCCGTGAGTGACCGAATGGCAAATACAAAGGCTACAGAGCCCCTGAGCCCACAGCGTAAGGGCATTTCCATGGCTGTCATCTGTGGGCAGCAGCAGCAAAGCCAGCAGCCCTTTATGCCTCTATCTCTTCTCTCAGCTCCTCAGGAGGATGTGGACGAGACCCCCAGCCCCACAGAACTGGGCACGGAGGCCCCGGAGTCCCCCGAGGAGCCGCTCCTGGGGGAGCTGACAGTGACAGGATCCTCCCCTGATTCGCTGAGCCTCTTCTGGACCGTCCCCCAGGGCAGCTTCGACTCTTTCACCGTGCAGTACAAGGACAGGGATGGGCGGCCCCGGGCGGTGCGTGTTGGGGGCAAGGAGAGTGAGGTCACCGTGGGAGGCCTAGAGCCCGGGCACAAGTACAAGATGCACCTGTACGGCCTCCACGAGGGGCAGCGCGTGGGCCCGGTGTCCGCCGTGGGCGTGACAGGTGAGTGAGGGGCAGGGGCCTGCTTTGGTTCCCTCCCACTGCTGGCTCCCAGCTTCCCTGTAGCCAGTTGCTCTCCTTGCTCCAGTGGAACCTTGAGGCTGCCTGCCAGGGGAAGACCTAGAAAGAGCATGTCACTGGGGACTGGCGTACCACCAGCTTTCATGGCCCTGAGCAAGTTTTAAACTTTCTGCACCTCTGTTTCCTTGTCCGTAAAATGGGGACACCTACCTCACAGAGTTATTGTGAGGGTTAAGTGAGTTAACAGATGTAAAGCATCAAGAATGGGCCTGGCAAAAGTAAATATGCTGCCAGTGTCTGCTGTGAGAATTGTTATAAATATTCTTACTCTGAGGTCTGCTTTGTCCCCTTTGGCTGGTTCAGTTACTTGGTCAGAATGCACATGAATCTAAGGCCATACCACCCTGAAGGTGTCCTATCATCTCCTCTGATCTCAGAAGCTAAGCAGGGTCAGGTCTGGTTAGTACTTGGATGGGAGAATGCGCGTGAGACATTGGCCTCTTCATCAGTACAGCTTGAAGCAAGCTTTCTTTTCTTTCTTGTCTTTTTTTTTTTTTTTTTTTTTTTTGAGACAGAGTCTCACTCTGTTGCCCAGCCTGGAGTGCAGTGGTGCGATCTCAGCTCACTGCAACCTCTGCCTCCCAAGTTCAAGTGATTCTCCTGCCTCAGCCTCCCAAATAGCTGGGACTACAGATGCGTGCCACCACACCTGGTTACTTTTTTGTATTTTTAGTAGAGACGGGGTTCACCGTGTTGGCCAGGCTGGTCTCAAACTCCAGATCCTCAAGTGAGCCACCTGCCTCGGCCTCCCAAAGTTCTGGTATTACAGGCGTGAGCCACCACGCCTGACCACAAAGCTTTCTCTTTCTTCTTTCTCTCTTTTTCTTTCTTTCTTTCTTTCTTTCTTTCTTTCTTTCTTTCTTTCTTTCTTTCTTTCTTTCTCTTTCTTTCTGTCTCTCTCTCTCTCTTTCTTTCTTTTTTTCCTTTCTTTCTGTTTTTTGAGCTCTGTTGCCCAGGCTGGAATGCAGTGGTGCAATCTTGGCTCACTGCAACCTTTGCCTCCCAGGTTCAAGTGATTCTCCTGCCTCAGCCTCCCGAGTAGCTGGGATTACAGGCATGCACCACCACACCTGGCTAATTTTTGTATTTTTAATAGAGATGGGGTTTTACCATGTCAGCCAGGCTGGTCTCAAACTCTTGACCTCAAGTGATCCACCCGCCTTGGCCTTCCAAAGTGCTGGGATTATAGGCATAAGCCACCACGCCCGGCCACAAGGCTTTCTTTAATACTCATCCAGTGAGTGACTTTACAGCAAAGAAGAACATCCCTTCCACCCTTTCTCTCAGGCCTGGTTACAGGGCCACATCCACCACCACACAGGACCAGCCTGGGCACCTCCTCTCCAGGGCCTCAGCCCAAGAGGCTGAGTGGACAGCAGTGCCTCTGGGACCCTCGGGCTGACCTGCCCGGTTTAGTCACAGTGAGGGGAATCTCTTTTTTCCTTTGCTCACAGAAACAAAGACACACCTTTCTCAAAAATAACTTTTACTATAAGGGGAAAGATTAAAAAATTAAAAGTAGAGAAATAGATAGTTTTCCAGAACATGGTTTCTGTAATTCCACCAAGCTCAGCCTCATCATGACTTGGTTGATTTCATTTCCAGAACCTTCCACCCTCAATTTATTTTCTTTGCCTCAGTCAGCCCTGAGAAGAGGGAGACGGCAAAGCCACCCTGAGTGGCTGTCCTTGGGGCCTGAGGTTGTAGGGTGGAGGCTGGTGCCAGGCCCAGACATGCTGCCAAGTCTGCTCCTGGAGTGACCCTCCCTCTGCCGCTCTGTCCCAGGGACCCACACTGGGCTCTGTGAGGCCCTGTGCCTGGTCCCTGGGGTAAGGATGGGCTCTGTCAGGCACTGACCAAGTCGGTGCAGTAGAGATAAATGGAGTTTGGGAATCTGACAAACTGAGTTCCTTCCTGTCTTCCTCTGTTCTCAGCTGTATGATTTTTATTTTTTTATTTTATTATTATTTTTTTGAGACAGAGTCTTGCTTTGTCACCCAGGCTGGAGTGCAGTGGCATGATCTCAGCTCACTGCAACCTCTGGCTCCCAGGTTCAAGCAGTCCTCCTGCCTCAGCCCCCCAAGTAGCTGGGATTACAGGCGCCCACCACCACACCCGGCTAATTTTTGTATTTTTAGTAGAGACAGGGTTTCACCATGTTAGCCAGGCTGGTCTCGAACTTCTGACCTCAGATGATCCACCCGCCTTGGCCTCCCAAAGTGCTGGGATTACAGGCGTGAGGCACCGTGCCCAGCCAGCTGTATGATCTTGAAAAACTTACCTCCTCTCCTGGAACCTCAGCTTCCTCATATTCAGGAGGGAGTAAACGCTGCCCAGCTTGTTGTCACGGTTAAAGGTGGTGATGTAACATGTCTGGCATCTTCTCAGCTCATTCATCTTTTGCTCAGACCTTCCCGTGAGGGAATCCCTGTATATCCATGTTCTAATGCTGGATATTTTGAAACATGTATTTTACACGTCCTGGATAAAATAGATGAGGCCCTTTAGGAAAGAAATGGGCATCAGTGCGCATTATCAGAGCAGCAAAAGGACGAAGCAGCTGGAGTCCGCCAAGCTGGGGGCTGTGTCTGGCAGCACACACAGTGCAGTTGCCAGGGGGAGAGGTGCGTGGAGCTCATTAGACACACTTCTAAATTGGAAAAGGACTGTCCCACATGCAGCATGGGGACTGCCAGAGTCATGAATCGTTATAATTGTACCTTTCCAGTTAATCCAAACCACCAGCAATAAAGCTTGATGGTGAAGGACATTTTCATTCCCTCATGGAAAGAAGTGCAGAGAGGGCAAAAAGGAGCAGGGAATGGGTGCTGCAGGAACAAGTAAGGTTAGAAGGCAAATGAAATGAGAGAAAATGCCCAGCCTGGTACCTGTACATAGTAGATGTTCAATACTTGGTGGTCACTCTGCTCCCTCCCACCACCTCAGCTGCCTCCATGCCTGCCCTCCCCAGCCTGACTCATTTCTGTCTGCCCGAGGCCTGGTCACCAGCCTGTTTTAAGCAGTTGTCACTTGCTTGGAGCCTTGTCTTGCCCTCCGGAGGAAGCCAGAGAAACAAGTTCTTGGGAGCCCCACCCATCCAGCCACCTTCTCTGCCATTTTGCCTCTTGGGACCACCTTCTAGTTTGCTCACTAATGAGTGCTTCCTCATGCGGGAGTGGTGGGGATCTGCAGGTCCTGAGCCCAGACCTGTAGACCACTCATTATTTTACAGACATCTGTGGAGCACCTACTGTGTGCCAGGGACTGGGACACAGCAGTGAATAAAGCAGAGCTCCTGCCTGAGGAGCTCACATTCTAGTGGAGAGGGACAGGCAACAAATTGCACAAATATGTCAGTGGCACCGGATGTGACAGTGATGAGTGGTGGGGAAAAGCAGAGCCTAGTAGGGAGACAGCAAGGGCCTCACTGCGAGGGCAGTGTCTGAGGAAAGCCCTGAAGGAGGTGAGAGGACAGCCACCTAGGCCTTTGGGGAAAGAGCATCCCAGACAGAAGGAAGAGCAAATGCAGAGACTGGCAGGCGAGAAGCAGCCCCAGATGTCTGCAGACAGTGAGGAATGCAGTATGTTTTGTGGTGGAGTTGGAGGAGGGCAGGCAATAGGGAATGATCTAAGAGATGAATATGGGACCTCAGAGGCCAGTGCAGGACTTGGATTTCACCCTGAGTGAGGTAGAAGCCACTGCGGGAACCAGCTCTGGCTAATGTGTTAACAGGATCCTTCTGGCTGCAGACCCAACAGACTAAAGGGGGGTGAGGGCAGAAGGCGATGACCTGAGAGAATGTTGTGATAATCCAGGAGGAGCCAGTGGTGCTTGGAGGTGGCAAGGAGGGGTCAGACTCTGAAGGTAGTGACAACAGGCGGATACCCACAGGGCGGATGTGGAGTTTAAGAGAGGACTCGGGGATGACTCTGGCGGTTTAGATCTGAGCAGCTGGAAGAATGAAGTTGTAATCCTGGTCAGGCGTGGAGGATCATGCCTGTAATCCCAGCACTTGGGGAGGCCGAGGCGGGCGGATCACCTGAGGTCGGGAGTTCAAGACCAACCTGACTAACGTGGAGAAACCCCATCTCTACTGAAAATACAAAATTAGCCGGACGTGGTGGCACATGCCTGTAATCCCAGCTACTCAGGAGGCTAAGGCAGGAGAATCGCTTGAACCCAGGAGGCGTAGGTTGCGGTGAGCCGAGAGGGCGCCATCGCACACCAGCCTGAGCAACAACAGCGAAACTCCGTCTCAAAAAAAAAAAGTTGTAATCTTACTGAGGTGGGGAGGCTGTGGCGGGAGCAGGTGTCAGGAAGCTCAGAGGCTCAGTTTTGGACTTGTTGAGTTTGACACACAAGTAGGCCTCCAAGGAAGACGTTGCACGAACACTAGTCTGGGGTTCAGGGGAGGTCTGGACAGAGGGTGTAAATCTGGAGTCATTGGCATATAGATGGAATTTCAGCGCTCTCCCAGGGTGTCAGTGATGGTTGATACTCTTCTCCCCCAACAAATGCAGCCTCAGACACCGAGCAGGGACCTAGTGAAGGACTGTTGACCAGACAGATGTTCAGATCAATGCGCTTTTACATCAAAACCATCATGCGGGTTCCACAAATGCAACAGACATCGCTGGGTGTGGTGGCTCACACCTGTAATCCCAGCACTTTGGGGGCTGAGGCAGGTGGATCACCTGAGGTCAGGGGTTTGAGACCAGCCTGGCCAACATGGCAAATGCCGTCTCCACTAAAAATACACACACACACAAAATTAGGCAGGCATGGTGGCGCACGCCTGTAGTCCCAGCTACTTGGGAGGCTAAGGCAGGAGGATCGCTTGAACCCGGGAGGCAGAGGCTGCAGTGAGCCGAGGTCGCCCACTGCTCTGGGTGACAGCGAGACTCCATCTCAAAAATAAAAAATAAAAAATAAATAACTAGACATCATTACTATAAGAAAAGGGGGATTCTTTACTAACAGCCCCCTACCATCTCTGTCCCAGCCCCACAACAAGAAGAGACCCCTCCAGCCACTGAGTCCCCGCTGGAGCCACGCCTAGGAGAGCTGACAGTGACAGATGTGACCCCCAACTCTGTGGGCCTCTCCTGGACAGTCCCCGAGGGCCAGTTTGACTCCTTCATAGTCCAGTACAAGGACAAGGACGGGCAGCCCCAGGTGGTGCCGGTGGCGGCAGACCAGCGAGAGGTCACAGTCTACAACCTGGAGCCTGAGAGAAAATATAAGATGAACATGTATGGACTACATGATGGGCAACGCATGGGCCCCCTGTCTGTGGTCATCGTGACGGGTGAGTAATGGGGGGACTCAGTCCTCATCTCTGGTTACCCAGAGCTCCCCCACCCCATGGCCCTTCTTCCAGCCCTGCCTTGGTACCACCGCACCCTCACTGAGGGGCTAGATCCCCTCAGGCCCTGGCTCGGTGACCCTGCCAGTCTTTCTGTTCCCTGACCCCTTTACTCCTCCCAGGGCTAGAGCCTTCTCAGCCCTCCAGCTCCTTCCCCATCTCCACTCTGCCCCCCGCCCAGGGGAATGTCTTATTTCCATTTGGCCTAAATCCAGCCACAGACTTTCTCTCCCCCTCTCCGACTGCCCACAGCTGTTTCCACCCCTTCTCTTTACAACCCTGCTGTGACTTGGACACAGCTGCCACCTCCTGCTTCTGCCCTTTTTTGTTGAGGCGAAGTGCTTTACATCCTGAGTCCCTTCTCAGGAGTCCTCTGCCACCTGCCTGCACTGCATTCCATCCCAGCCCTGGAGAGTTTTCATCTCTCCAGGAGGCTGCCTCACTCTTGCTCTGGGCTCCTTCCTGCCCCTCATGGCTTCCTGGGCACAGGTTCTCCATGATTGTTGTGCTGTGGCATCTGGTGAAACCCCTACCCCACCTGAAGGCAATGTTTTTAAATCTGTAAAATAAGCTGTATAGGATTACAAAGGAAACATTATATTTATAGACAGTTATCAAAATATTTCTTTTTTATTTTTGAGATGGAGTTTTGCTCTTGTCATCCAGGCTGGAGTGCAATGGCGCGATCTCGGCTCACTGCAACCTCCGCTTCCCAAGTTCAAGCAATTCTCCTGCCTCAGCCTCCCGAGTAACTGGGATTACAGGCACGTGCCACCACACCCAGCTAATTTTTTGTATTTTTAGTAGAAACAGGGTTTCGCCATGTTGGCCAGGCTGGCCTCAAACTCCTGACCTCAGGTGATCCACCCGCCTCGGCCTGGCATGAGCCACTGCACCCGGCCCAAAATATTTCTTAAAAATCCAAAGTTACGATTTAGTAATACTTGGACTTATTTACTAGTTCATTAAATAACAGGACTTGGTGGCGCGTTTACTAAACTACAAAATTTAGAAGCAGTGATGGATATAAAAGGTATTTTAAAGTTTCTGCAATAACTCTAAGGTGACATGAAAACATCTGTGGTTTCTATTGGTAACAAAGTCACAATAATTCTACTCTGGTGGGTTTTCTATATTAGTTTTGGAAAGAAATGCTGCATTTCAGTTAGAGGTCTGGAAGTAAAGGTGTAACTATTCCCCATCTCAGTTCACAGCCCCCCTGAGGCCCTCAAAGCCCAGGGGTTCTCCCCTCAGAGATCTCAACCATGTTCTTTGTCTTCCCAAATCCCAGCTCCCCTCCCACCAGCCCCAGCCACAGAGGCCTCCAAGCCTCCCCTGGAGCCACGCCTAGGGGAGCTGACAGTGACGGATATAACCCCTGACTCTGTGGGCCTCTCATGGACAGTCCCTGAGGGTGAATTCGACTCCTTTGTGGTTCAGTACAAGGACAGGGACGGGCAGCCCCAGGTGGTGCCCGTGGCTGCAGATCAGCGGGAGGTCACTATCCCTGACCTGGAACCCTCCCGCAAGTACAAGTTCCTGCTCTTTGGGATCCAGGATGGGAAACGACGCAGCCCAGTCTCTGTGGAGGCAAAGACGGGTGAGATGGGCCCCTACACAGCTGAGCCTGAGGCCACAGCCTTCCCACCCTTCTCTTCACTCCCTCTGCTGAGTCTTCCCTTTGTCCACCTGCTCTGTCTCATTTGAAAAGCCACATGGGGCTAGCACAGTGACTCATGCCTGTAATCCCAGCACTTTGGGAGTCCAAGGCAGGTCAGGAGTTTGAGACCAGTCTGGCCAACATGGCAAAACCCTGTCTCTACTAAAAAGACAAAAATTAGCTGGGTGTGGTGATGGGTGCTAGTAATTCCAGCTACTCGGGAGTCTGAGGCACAAGAATCACTTGAACCCAGGAGGTGGAGGCTGCAGGGAGCTGAGATTGCGCCACTGCACTCCAGCCTGGGTGATAGAGCCAGACTCCGTCTCAAAAAAGACCAAAAAAAAAAAAAAAAGAAAGAAAAGCCGCAAAGCAGATGAGGACCAGGAGAGTGGGGCCAGTTCCTGGGTCTGCTGTCCCCTGCTGACTCTGCCTCTCTTCTCGTAATTTCCACTTTTGTTGGATGAGGGAAGCCCCTACAGGCCTCTTCCTGCAGGGTGGATGTGGGAGCCTGGGGGTGCTGGGAGAAGGGGCGAGGGGAGCCAGGAACCCTTCCTGCCTTGCGAATCCATCACCTCCTGAGAGTCTTTGTTGTCTCCCCTGTGACTCTCACCCAGGTTCTCACCCTCCTAGCTCAGGCCTGTCTGGGCCCATATGTGCCTCCTACAGAGGCTGCCCTTCCTTCTCTGCCCTCCTCCTGAAGTCTCAGAAATTGGGAACCAGAGGAGCCCAGCCCAGCTGTGCCCCTTTCCGAGGGTTCAGTCCAAGCCCTCCCCTGCCCCTGGGGGCTCCCTATTGCCAGAAAACTTGCAATAACAATGTCGTCAGCGTCCTCACCGTCCAGGAAGGCAGCAGGCCAGCTCCTTCTCAAGCCCTGGGATGGCTCCTCAGGCAGACACCAGATCCCTTCCCTGCCTGAGCTCCCCGGCATCATCCCCCTCAACATTCTCACAGGCAGCCCACGCTCCTTCACCAGGCCCAGTGGGAGCCTTAGTTCTCCCGGGCCAGCCGGTGCAGAATAAGAAAGGGAACGGAGAAGGGTGAGAACTACCTGTGTCGTAACATCCTGCCTCCCTGACCTGCCGAGTGCCCCCATCAGGGATCCTGCGCTCCTCGGGGCCGGCCAAATCACCCCTTTCCTCAGGGGCCGGCCAAATCACGGCCAAATCGTGTGCTCCTGGGTAAGAGGAGATAGAGACCCAGTCTGTAAGAAGCTGCACCCTGCTGGGGAAGCAGTCTGTGAGAGGCGGAAAGAGGCTGGACAGAAAGGGGAGTAAGATGAGGCAGGGAGCTAGGGAATCTCTTTTCCTGGAGGTGACTCAGGACAGGTGACCCTCCCCACTTGGGTCAAGGGGAGAGAGGCATGGACCAGACGGAGATGGTGGTGAGGATGGGAGGTGATGGAAATATTTTGGGGAAGCACTGAGCATTTGGGCAGTTCTGGGTTTTTCCAGCCCCAGAGGGAGGCAGTCAAGGAGTCGTTTTGGAAAAAATAAACACAAGAACCTTTCCTCTCCAGTTGCCCGAGGTGACGCCAGCCCAGGGGCCCCACCCCGCCTTGGGGAGCTGTGGGTGACAGACCCCACCCCAGACTCACTGCGCCTCTCCTGGACGGTTCCTGAGGGCCAGTTCGACTCTTTTGTGGTCCAGTTCAAGGACAAAGACGGGCCCCAGGTGGTGCCCGTGGAGGGCCATGAGCGCTCTGTCACTGTCACCCCTCTGGATGCCGGCCGCAAGTACAGATTCCTCCTCTATGGCCTCCTGGGCAAGAAGCGCCATGGCCCTCTCACTGCCGACGGCACCACGGGTGAGGGGCATTCCCTGCAGGTCCCTGCTCTGCTCCCCTCAGGCCAAGCAGCAGACGGTCACTTGTGGTGGCTGCCATTACCATTATTTGGCCCCAGCCACTCGGCTCAGATCCAGCTCCCCACGTCCCTGCACAAGCCCCTAGCACAGCCCGGCAGGACTCAGCCACGCAAAGCCCTGTCTCCAGACCTCTCAATCCTGCCCGTCGAGGTCACCCAGTCTTCCAGAAACAGCTCAGCCGTTTCCTCTCCGTGTCTCCATCTCAGAAGCCCGGAGTGCTATGGATGATACTGGAACAAAGCGTCCCCCAAAACCCCGTCTGGGGGAGGAGCTGCAGGTGACCACCGTGACCCAGAACTCCGTGGGCCTCTCCTGGACAGTCCCTGAGGGCCAGTTTGACTCCTTTGTGGTCCAGTACAAAGACAGGGACGGGCAGCCCCAGGTGGTGCCCGTGGAGGGCAGCCTCAGGGAGGTCAGCGTGCCGGGCCTGGACCCTGCCCACAGGTACAAGCTGCTGCTCTACGGGCTGCACCACGGCAAGCGTGTGGGCCCCATCTCGGCCGTCGCCATTACTGGTGAGTGTGCGGCAGCTGGAACACCTGTGCCTCCTTCCCGCCTGGCTCTCCTGGTCTGACTGAGCCATAAGATCTCTGAGCTTCCCATTTTATATCATTTCCATTGATCCAGAAAGTTTCCTTGTGCCCCTTTAGAGTCAGTTGCCCCAGTCCCAGCCTCCAGCAACCACTGTCTGCTTTCGATCATCCTGGAGACAGCATTTTGACTCTCCATGTAATGGAATCACAATACGCAGTCTCTTGTGTTTCATTTCTTGCAATTAGCACAATGCTTTTGAAATTCACCCATGTGCAGCAAAAGCTGGTCTTTCGATTGCTGACTGCTTGCCCTCACTCCCTCTCCTCCCTCACTCCTCCTGAGAGTCTGGGTGCAGCGACACACCAGCCATCTGTCTCTACCTGTCTCTGTGAACCAGCCGGCAGGGAAGAAACGGAAACTGAGACCACGGCCCCGACCCCTCCAGCGCCTGAGCCCCACCTCGGGGAGTTGACAGTGGAGGAGGCCACGTCACACACCCTGCATCTCTCCTGGATGGTGACTGAGGGAGAATTTGACTCCTTCGAAATCCAGTACACAGATAGAGACGGGCAACTCCAAATGGTCCGCATAGGAGGTGACCGGAATGACATCACCCTCTCTGGCCTGGAATCCGACCACAGATACCTGGTGACCCTGTATGGTTTCAGTGATGGGAAGCATGTAGGTCCTGTCCATGTCGAGGCCCTGACAGGTGAGAACTCTGCCCACTATGCCTCCTTTCAGATGGCTGGGAGAGTCCAGAGGACAGCAGAGTCCCGCGGATACCCTGCCCACCTCAGTCCTCTCTTTCCATGTCTCTGTCCAGTCCCGGAGGAGGAGAAGCCTTCAGAACCTCCCACCGCAACCCCCGAGCCCCCCATCAAGCCTCGCCTGGGGGAGCTGACCGTGACAGATGCCACCCCTGACTCCCTCAGCCTGTCCTGGACAGTTCCCGAGGGACAGTTTGACCACTTCCTGGTCCAGTACAGGAATGGAGATGGGCAGCCCAAGGCAGTGAGGGTGCCAGGGCACGAGGAAGGGGTCACCATCTCGGGCCTGGAGCCAGACCATAAATACAAGATGAACCTGTACGGCTTCCACGGTGGCCAGCGCATGGGCCCTGTGTCTGTCGTCGGGGTGACAGGTGAGTGGATGATGGGAGCCCCAGGGTGGGAGCCATGGGAGGGTCACCCTCTTGCTCTTTGGTGATGACTGGTGGGGAATGGGACAAGGGTCTGGTCAGCACCACAGACCTGCTTGTGGCTGGGGCTGGGGCTCCCCTTGGGCCTTCCTGTGAGGTTGACCACTGGCTCCTCCTGAACAGAGAGGGGCCATCGGGAATTTTGCTGTGCTGGTGGCTGTCCCAGGTCCCCCACAGCTGACCCTGGAACTTGTCATGTGTGTTAGCTGTCAGCTGAGCAGGACCACCCAGCCCCAAGAGTAGGCCTCTCTGAACTGACCTCGGGTCCCCCAGTCATAGCCTTGGCTTCTCCCTCCTTTTCCCCAGTACCCAAGGACATCCCCCTCACTCTCTCTTCCTCCTTCTCAGCTGCAGAGGAAGAGACCCCCAGCCCCACAGAACCCAGCATGGAGGCCCCGGAGCCCGCTGAGGAGCCGCTCCTGGGGGAGCTAACAGTGACAGGATCCTCCCCTGACTCGCTGAGCCTCTCCTGGACCGTCCCCCAGGGCCGCTTCGACTCCTTCACCGTGCAGTACAAGGACAGGGACGGGCGGCCCCAGGTGGTGCGTGTTGGGGGCGAGGAGAGTGAAGTCACCGTGGGGGGCCTGGAGCCTGGGCGCAAGTACAAGATGCACCTGTACGGCCTCCACGAGGGGCGGCGCGTGGGCCCAGTGTCTGCTGTGGGCGTCACGGGTGAGTGTGCACTGCAGAGCCCTCTGGGTTGGGTCTTAGCAAAGTACAGCCTCCAGCATCTCCTCCACTAGGGACCCAGAACCCCAAGACCTCAAACCTGTAATACACCCTGTTCACTAAAGGCTCAGGACAGGTGTGATCTGGGGACAGAGAGAGCAAATCCAGGAGAAGTGTCGGAGCCATATGGGAAAGGCCCCCAGGGACTGAGGCCTCTTGGGAGGTGATTCACTGGCTGGTTTGTGGCTCTCCGCTTTTCCTTGGAACTCTATACATAACTCTTTTTGTGAGATTGGAACACATTTTTGAAATACAAATTAATTAAATTAATAAGTATTTGTTAAATAAAATTTCAAATGTATAAACAGAAAGAATAGTACAAAGACCCTGCCATCCTCCTTCAATCAAATATCGACTTCTGGCCAGTCTGGCTCATCTCTGCCCCACCCACTTCCTCCACTAGAATCACTAGAATGTTTTCTTTCTTTCTTTCTTTCTTTCTTTCTTTCTTTCTTTCTTTCTTCCTTCCTTTCTTTCTTTCTCTTTCTTTCTTTCTTTCATTCTTTTCTTTTCTTTCTTTCTTTTTAGACAAGGTCTCACTCTGTCGCCTGGGCTAGAGTGTACTGGCACAGTCACAATTCACTGCACTGCAGCCTCAACCTCCTGGGCTTAAGGGATCCTCCCACTTCAGCCTCCCGAATAGCTGGGACTACAAGTGCACTCCACCATGCCCAGCTAATTTTTTGTATTTTTTGTAGAGACAGGGTTTAGCCATGTTGCCCAGGCCAGTCTCGAACTCCTGGGCTCAAGTTATCCTCCCACCTCAGCCAAAGTGATAGGATTCCAGGCGTGAGCCGCCACACCCGGCCTGAATGTTTTCTTTATTAACACCTTTATGGAGATATAATTCATGTGGCATAAAATACACTTGTTTTTAGTGTACAACTTACTGATTTTAGTATCTTTACCTACTTGTGCAGCCATCACCACGATCTAATTTTAGAACTTTTCCATCACCCCCAAAAGAAATCTTGGGTCCAGACCCATTCCTACCTCAGCCCTAGTTTATAACTAATCTACTTTTTTCTCTGTAGATTGCTGTTCCAGAACATTTCGTATAAATGGACTCAAACAATATGTATTCTTTTGTGTCTAGCTTCTTTCACTGAGCATAATGTTTTTGAGGTTCATCAATGTAGCATGTAGAAGTACTATACTTACTACATTGCTATTGATTGATTGATTGATTGATTGATTGATTTTTTTTGAGACAAATTCCCACTCTATTGCCCAGGCTATAGTGCAGTGGCATGATCATAGCTCACTGCAGCCCCAGACTCCTGGGCTCAAGCCATCCTCCCATCTCAGCCCCCCAGGTAGCTGGGGCCACAGGTGCTCGCCACCACACTCAGCTAATTTAAAAAAATTTTTTGTAGAGATGGGGTCTCACAGTGTTACCCAGGCTGATATCAAACTCCTGGCTTCAAGGAATCCTCCTGCCTGGGCCTTACAAAGTGCTGGGATAGCAGGCATGAGCCACCTGCTCTCTCTCAGCCACTACACTGCTTTTTATTGCCAAACAGTATTGCATTGTGTGGTTATACTACTGCAGTATTTTAAAAACGAACCACAGACATCCTATGCTTTCATCACTAAATATTTAAAGGTATATCTCTTTTTAAAAAAATTATTTTTAAAAAATCCACAATATGGCCAGGTGAGGTGGTTCACGCTTGTAATCCCAGCACTTTGGGAGGCCAAGGCAGGTGGATCACTTGAGGTAAAGAGTTCAAGACCAGCCTGACCAACATGGTGAAACCCCGTCTCTACTAAAAATAATAATAATAATAATAAATTTTAAAAAGTACAAAAAAGCGGAGCGTGGTGGCACGTGCCTGTAGTCCCAGCTACTTGGCGGGGGTTGAGGCACAAGAAATTGCTTGCACCCAGGAGGTGGAGGTTGCAGTGAGCCAAGATCGCGCCACTGCACTCCAGCCTGGGTGACAGAGTGAGACTCTGTGTCAAAAAATAAATAAATAAATAATAAAATTCCACAATACAATTAGCATACCTTGATAAGTGAACAATCATGCCTTGATATCAAGTATCCAGGTAGTGCTACAGTCTCCCGAGTGTCTCATAATTGTTGTTTCCCAATTTGTTGCTGAAATCAGGTCTATAGAAGGAGGATACATTGCAATTGAGAAAACTGAAATTTTAAATAGAGTAATCAGGGAAGGCCCACAGAAGAAGGTGGCTTTTGAACAAAGACTTAAAGGAAGTGTGGGGATGAGCCATGAAGATATCTGGGGAAAGAACATTTAGGTAGAGGGAACAGTCATTGTAAAAGTACTGAGGTAGGAGGCTGCCTGGCATGGTTGAGGGACCATAAGGAAGCCACAAAATCTGATTATGATTATAATCAGAAATCGATCTTAAGTTAGGGCCAGACTGGGCCCACCTTCTGACCTGAATTCAAGACAGCTGGGGCCTCAACACCTCCTTGCAGCAAGAGAAAAGATTCTGTTTCTATCTCTTCCTAGCCCCCGAAGAGGAGTCCCCTGATGCTCCTCTTGCAAAGCTGCGCCTAGGGCAGATGACAGTGAGAGACATCACCTCCGACTCCCTCAGCCTCTCCTGGACAGTCCCCGAGGGCCAGTTTGACCATTTCTTGGTCCAGTTTAAGAATGGGGATGGGCAGCCCAAGGCGGTGCGGGTGCCGGGACACGAGGATGGGGTCACCATCTCGGGCCTGGAGCCAGACCACAAGTACAAGATGAACCTGTACGGCTTCCACGGTGGCCAGCGCGTGGGCCCCGTGTCTGCTGTTGGTTTAACTGGTGAGTGTGCAGTAGGGCACTGGGCCCTGCCCTGAACTAGACTCAGTTTCCCTTTTATTGTCAGTATCTGGTGGCTTTATTTTACTTTCCCTGAGACCAAGCCTCCCAAGCTCCTGGGAATGGTTCTGCTGGTGCCTTCACTCCGAGACTTTGGTATTGCCCCAGGTCTTCTGCCCGTTACACATGGGCTTTTTGGGTTCCCAAAGAGGTGGGGGACCAGGAAAATAACACAGACTGAGGCACACCTGGGGTTGACCATAGCTTCAGCCCATTTGAGCTGTGTGTCCTCAAGAGACTCACACAACCTGTCTGGGCACGGTGGCTCATGCCTGTAATCCCAGCACTTTGGGAGGCCGAAGGGGGCAGATCACTTGAGGTCAGGAGTTCGAGACCAGCCTGGCCAACATCATGAAACCCCCATCTCTACTAAAAATACAAAAATTAGCTGGGTGTGGTGGTACATGCCTGTAGTCCCAGCTACTCGGGAGGCTAAGGCGGGAGAATCGCTTGAACCCAGGAGGCGGAGGTTGCAGTGAGCCGAGATCGAGCCACTGCACTCCAGCCTGTGTGACAGAGTGAGACCCTGTCTCAAAAAAACAAAACAAGCAAACAAAAAACAGACACACGACCTCTCTGTACATCCTTTTCCTCATCTGTAAAGAAGGAATAACCATACCTGTCGTGAAGGGTGGGTGGGAGTGTGGCTTGGCTCTCACACACAATGAGAGATAACTGCAGTCTTTCCCTTCTGAGGAAGGTAGGTAGTTCCTGAAAACCGCTTAGGGCAAATTCTCATAATTATCACTGATTTCAGTGGGAAAAATTGTATGTGTTCTCTAAGCTCCCAAATTAATACCCATTTATTTTTAAAACAACACTGAATCCTGTTAACATGGATACTATTACTTTAATTGTAAATATTGGCCATGTGCACAACTTAATAAGGCATTTTCCTTTCATTACCCTGTAACTCGGCTCTTTGATGCTTTTGTAAGCTCTTTTATAGCTGTTACCCCCTAGATGCTTAAGACTCAGTTCTCAAAAAGAACAGACAAATGAAATGTGATGAATTTGTAATACCACTATCAAGGCAGAATAAAACCCTATGAAGAGCAGAAAAGATTAAAGAAATCAATGAAAACAAAGCAATTGATTTCACACGGGCCAAAAGAACTGGCATCACTGGAGGTGCTCTCTCTGCCGTAAGTTAGCAGAGCTACTGCAGGTCCAGAGACAACTCAGCTGCAAAGATGCCCTCATGTGGTCTCATCTCTCTACCCTCAGCTATAAAATCTAAGTTGGTTTCTAAAAATGCTCAGGATTAGGTGGAATTTCCAAGCCCAGGTGGATGAACCTCCTGATACAACTTGCCTGTTGTGTTTGGTTGGTGTTCTTTGTTTTCTTTTTTTTTTTTTTCTTTATGTTGAGATGGAGTCTCACTCTGTCACCCAGGCTCTCAGGCTGGAGTGCCGTGGTGCGATCTCAGCTCATTGCAACCTCTGCCTCCCAGGTCCAAGCAGTTCTCCTGCCTCAGCCTTCCGAGTAGCTGGGATTACAGGCATGCACCAGCACATCTGGCTAATTTTTGTATTTTTAGTACAGACAGGATTTCGCCATGTTGGCCAGGCTGGTCTCAAGCTCCTGACCTCAGGTGATCC
The DNA here is from genome assembly GCF_000001405.40 of Homo sapiens. NCBI lineage: Eukaryota > Metazoa > Chordata > Mammalia > Primates > Hominidae > Homo > Homo sapiens. The sequence goes on along the minus strand of NT_167245.2, from coordinate 3,304,570 downwards.
TCCCGCCTCGGCCTCCCAAAGTGCTGGGATTACAGGCCTGAGCCACCACGCCTGGCCCTGATTGCTGTTTTTTGTTTGTTTGTTTGTTTTTGTTTGTTTGTTTTTTTCTTGAGAAGGAGTCTCGCTGTCTCCCAGGATGGAGTGCAGTGGCGTGATCTTGGCTCACCGCAAGCTCCGCCTCCTGGGTTCATGCCATTCTCCTGCCTCAGCCTCCTGAGTAGCTGGGACTACAGGTGCCCGCCAACACGCCTGGCTAATTTTTTGTATTTTTAGTAAAGACGGGGTTTCACAGTGTTAGCCAGGATGGTCTCAATCTCCTGACCTCATGATCCGCCCGCCTCGGCCTCCCAAAGTGCTGAGATTACAGGCCTGAGCCACCACACCCGGCCCTGGTTGGTGTTCTTATAAAGCATCAATTCTGTCCTGCAAAACAAATTTGCTTGGCAGCTCCTAAGGGTCCCAGGCCTGCACACTGAGCATCACAGGGATGCCACCTGAGCATCATGACTTCACCACAGGTGTGGTGTTAACTGAACATTCAAAGCAGAAAAATGATATTCTAAGCTTGGGGCACCAGCATCCAGACTGTGGGCCCTTGGTGTGTCTAAGAGAATCCCAGAGTCCCTTGGTTAAAAGGAGGCCCACCAGGCATGCCCACCCATTCTATTTTCTGATGCAGCCCCAGGAAAGGATGAAGAAATGGCCCCAGCCTCGACAGAACCTCCCACCCCTGAACCCCCCATCAAGCCTCGCCTGGAGGAGCTGACCGTGACAGATGCGACCCCTGACTCCCTCAGCCTGTCCTGGACGGTTCCCGAGGGACAGTTTGACCACTTCCTGGTCCAGTACAAGAATGGGGATGGGCAGCCCAAGGCAACACGGGTGCCAGGACATGAGGACAGGGTCACCATCTCCGGCCTGGAGCCAGACAACAAGTACAAGATGAACCTGTACGGCTTCCACGGTGGCCAGCGTGTGGGCCCCGTGTCTGCCATCGGGGTGACAGGTGAGTGGACGATGGGAGCCCCAGGGTGGGAGCCATGGGAGGGTCACCCTCTTGCTCTTTGGTGATGACTGGTGGGGAATGGGACGGGTCTGGTCAGCACCACAGACCTACTTGTGGCTGGGGCTGGGGCTCCCATTGTACCTTTTTGTGTGGTTGACCCCTGGCTCCCCCTGAGCAGGGAGGGGCCATTGGGAGTTTTGCTGTGCTGGTGGCTGTGCCAGGTCCCCCACAGCTGACCCTGGAATTTGTCATGTGTGTTAGCTGTCAGCTGAGCAGGACCCCAAGAATGGGCCTCTCTGAACTGACCTCAGGTCCCCTAGTCATAGCCTTGGCTATTTCATATGTCCCCTAGTCATAGCCTTCTCCCTCCTTTTCCCCACGACGTAAGCACATCCCCCAGGGACCCTGCCATCCTCTCTGTGTCCCTTTTTCTCAGCTGCAGAGGAAGAGACCCCCAGCCCCACAGAACCCAGCATGGAGGCCCCGGAGCCCCCTGAGGAGCCGCTCCTGGGGGAGCTGACAGTGACAGGATCCTCCCCTGACTCGCTGAGCCTCTCCTGGACCGTCCCCCAGGGCCGCTTCGACTCCTTCACCGTGCAGTACAAGGACAGGGACGGGCGGCCCCAGGTGGTGCGTGTTGGGGGCGAGGAGAGCGAGGTCACCGTGGGGGGCCTGGAGCCTGGGCGCAAATACAAGATGCACCTGTACGGCCTCCACGAGGGGCGGCGCGTGGGCCCGGTGTCCACCGTGGGCGTGACTGGTGAGTAGTGCTTGGAGTCTCGGGGTAACCACCTTTCCCTCATGGGTACCTGGTTTACTGCTGTGCCCTTTCACCAAGCCCTGTGGGTCCAGACTTGTCTCCTGTGTCCTGCCCTCCCTCTGTGCCCTGTGGCTGTGGCCTATGCTAGCGGTTTGCTTGTTCACTTTGGCGTGGCCTCCCTCTAATGGTCAACCACTGATAACCTCCAAGAGTGAAATATGTCAGGCGCACACCAAGCCTGACTTACGAGAATTTTCCTTTCTTTCCATCTTAATAACAGCATTCTTTGTTATAACCACATACACAAATGCACACAAGAGGAACAATCCAACGTCAAACCACGTTGGGATGACTAAATAATTTAGGCAACATCTATAAAAAGAGCTATTATGCCGCCACTGAAATGTTTTAACATAAGACCCTTACTTTATAATGTTACATTGAAAAAAGAGAGCCTAGGCTGGGCACAGTGGCTTACGCCTGTAATCCCAGCACTTTGGGAGGCCGAGGCGGGCTGATCGCCTGAGGTCAGGAGTTCCAGACCAGTCTAGCCAACATGGTGAAACCCCATCTCTACTAAAAATACAAAAATTAGCCAAGCATGGTGGCACATGCCTGTAATCCCAGTTACTTGGGAGGTGGAGGCACGAGAATTGCTTGAACCCGGGAGGCAGAGGTTGCAGTGAGCCGAGATCACCACTGCACTCCAGCCTGGCAGATACAGCCAAACTCAGTCTCAAAAAAGAAGAAAAAGGAGCCCAAATTTTTGTAAGGATGCTAATCACAACCATTTGAAAGTAACAGGCATGGCAAGAAGACTGGAAAGAAACACATCCCACGGGTTGCCTGATTTGTTAGATAGAATAGAATATTCCAGCACATTTTTTTCTGTATTATTCTATTCTGCATAGTCCAAATTTTCTTAAATGGCAAACATTTCTTTTACAATCAGGGAAAGGGAAAAGAGAAAATATATAATGTCTTCTCCTTCTTTACACTCCATCTGTCCTACTCCTCTATCGCTCTTGTGGCTTATTTCATTTATTTCCTTCTTTTTTTTTTTTGAGATGAAGTTTCGCTCTTGTCGCCCAGGCTGGAGTGCAATGGCATGATCTCGGCTCACTACAACCTCTGCCTCCTGGATTCAAGCGATTCTCCTGCCTCAGCCTCCCGAGTAGCTGGGATTACAGGCATGCGCCACCACATCTGGCTAATTTTGTATTTTTAGTAGAGAGGGAGTTTCTCCATGTTGGTCAGGCTGCTCAAACTCCTGACCTCAGGTGATCTGCCCGCCTCGGCCTCCCAAAGTGCTGGGATTACAGGCATGAGCCACCGCGCCCAGCCAGACTTATTTCATTTCTAATTATGAGGAAGTTCAAAATTTCTAGTCCATAAGAAATTGGAGGGGTGGAGATCATGAGGTTAATTGAATTCCAAATGCTCAGTCAGGCTGCCTTTTCTAAGTCATCCTCAGCCAGGTTGTTATGCCTGGCTTAGAGTATTTTTCGAGAATTCCTACCGATGGGGAAGAATCAGCCCTGCTGAGAGGCGGTCTCTTGCAGGGCAGGTCGCCACCTCTGTGGCACCAAGTGAGGTGCGAGCTCATCTCCCAAAGGCCATCCAGACAGAGGAAGCACTCTCAATCGGCATCCCCGATTCCTGGGGGAGAGGCCTCATTTCCATATGCATGTTCAGAGGACCATCTGAGTGTTGGGAAACAGGGGGAATAGGGAAATTATTGGAAAATGAACATTAGAAAAATTCACATTCCGGGGGTAAGCTGTCCTGGTCCACGTTCAGTTTTGTGTTCCTGTCTCCACTGTGGGGAACCACAGAACTGACAGAGGACAGGCTGAGGGACCCACCCCTGCCCCTCCTGTTCTATGTGTATTGCTGCCCCACCCCCACCCCACACTCTATTATTAATTGTTGTAGCCCAGAATTTCTTTCTTTCTTTTTCTTTTTTTTTTTTTTTTTTGAGACTGAGTCTCACTCTGTTGCCCAGGCTGGAGTGCAGTGGTGTGATCTCAGCTCACTGCAACCTCTGCCTCCCAGGTTCAAGTGATTGTCCTGCCTCAGCCTCCTGAGTAGCTGGGATTACAGGTGCATGCCACCACGCCTGGCTAATTTTTGTATTTTCAGTAGAGACCGGGTTTCATGATATTGGCCAAGCTAGACTCGAATTCCCAACCTCAGGTGATCCACCCGCCTCGGCCTCCCAAAATGCTAGGATTACAGGCGTGAACCACTGCTCCCAGCCCAGAATTTCTTTTTTAGCCCACGTTTTTCTAGTGAAAATAATACAGCAACATTATGTGGAAAGCTTGAAAAACAGAAAACAAGAATCTCATAGTCCTACTTTCTCTCCCAGCTGCCGGCATTAATAACAATGTGTGTAGTGCACATTCCCTTCCTGTATTTTGCATGCAGAGCGTGTTTTAAAGTTGCAATCAGTGTTCATAAAGTTCTTGGCACTTCCTTTTTTGTACACAAGTACATTGTAATCATTCACCTCACGGCTACACAACCAGCATTCATCATCGTTTCAATGGTTATTTGATGCGTTGCGGTGAAAGCACTATAACAAAATTAATCATCTTCTACGGGTCATTTGTGTTCCTGACACATCTGCTGTCATGAATAACCCCATCGTGAGTTCTTCCATGCTATAACTTTTTCCTGCTTTAATAATTTTCTTAGGACAGATGCCCAGAACTGGGATTATTGGGTCAAAGGAAATGAGAATTACTTTGGCTCCTGACACTATGTCTCAGTTGCCTTCTGGAGGTTTCTAACAGTGCAGCTCTGCCAGCAGTACAGGCCGGGGGCTCGGGGATACCTCACCGGCTCTTATTCCAAGAGTCACTGAACGGCGAACACAAAGCTGCCCCAGCCCTCAGCCTGCTCTGGAGGGGCGCATTTGATGTATGACCTCTGTTGACAGCACCAGCAAAGCAAGTTGCCCTTAAACCCTTAAACTCTGTATCCCCCTATATTACCTTTCAGCCCCACAAGAGGATGTGGACGAGACCCCCAGCCCTACAGAACCAGGCACAGAGGCCCCAGAGCCCCCCGAGGAGCCTCTCCTGGGGGAGCTGACAGTGACAGGATCCTCCCCTGACTCGCTGAGCCTTTCCTGGACCGTCCCCCAGGGCCGCTTTGACTCCTTCACCGTGCAGTACAAGGACAGGGATGGGCGGCCCCAGGCGGTGCGTGTTGGGGGCCAGGAGAGCAAGGTCACTGTGAGGGGCCTGGAGCCTGGGCGCAAGTACAAGATGCACCTGTACGGCCTCCACGAGGGGCGGCGCCTGGGCCCGGTGTCTGCCGTGGGCGTCACAGGTGAGTGAGTGTGGGTGGGGCAGGGTTGGAAGACAGCCCTAGAAAATGTGCCCTTCTCTACCATTTTCCTATACATATTTCTGTCTTGATGGGGCTCACAGTGAAAGGAATATAGCAACATTATGGAAAGACATGTCATGGAGAGACAGGCTGCAATCCAGCAAATGAAGCAAAGGCGGGTGAGCATGTGATAGGGAGGCCCAGGGCTCAGGTCAGGACCAGACAGGGACGCCTAAGTCACCCTGCCCATGGGTACCCAGGGGACAGCCAGGACCTGAGGCCAGGCATGCCTTAGCTTGGTGACAGCTTTAGAGAGAAGGTGAAGTGTGTCAGATAATCACAGCTGGTGCAAAGGCCAGGAGGCTAGAAAGAGCATGGCACGTGAGAGGCACTGAGGATTGAGTGGGGTGTCCTTTACGGTGTATCTCATCCTGAAGTGTGGGAGCAGAGGAGGGGACCACTCACCAGGCCTGGGGTCTCCCAGGGATGAGGATGTGGTTGCCCAGGTCTGTGCTGAGATGGCCCCAGCAGCTGTGCCTGTGTGAAGCTCATCCGTGGGGGCTGAAGATGGGGATGGGGTGGCAGGGAGCCTGGAGGCAGCGAGGCCAGTAGGCAGTTGGTGGCCCTGGTGAGAGGTGACAGTGGCTCAAACTAGGATCGGGGACTGGAGGTGGGGTAGGAAGGTATCCAGGGGAATTCAGGGTAAAGATGCTCTGAGGCTGCTGGCAGCTGGTGAGGAGCTGGATCCAGGAACACACCCCAGGCTCTGGCCTCGGGAGGAGTGTGCTGAGCTTGTTGCGGAGCAAAGACAGAAGCCCAGTGAACAAAAGATGGCGAAGAGACCCCAGTGCTGGGAGGCCAGGGGTGCAGAGGCCGAGTGGGGCTGTGCTCAAAAGAGAGGCGGTGCTGGAGGGACAGGGAGAGGTGGCCTGGGTGTTGGGAGGTGGGGGTGAGGTGGGGGCTGAGGGCAGGAGGGTCAGGGTGAGGGATAGGAAAGGCCGCAGGAGAGGAGAGGATGAAGAGCTGTGCTGGAGGGGCTGTGGGCAGCATCGTCCTGCTCTTGGGCACTTTGTGTTTTGTGACACATCCTTTCTATGCTGAACTGAGGAGCCAGGGACCTCACTGTCCCCACACGTGTCTGTCCAACTCCAGAGGATGAAGCCGAGACCACCCAAGCAGTGCCTACCATGACCCCTGAGCCCCCCATCAAGCCTCGCCTGGGGGAGCTGACCATGACAGATGCCACCCCTGACTCCCTCAGCCTGTCCTGGACGGTTCCCGAGGGCCAGTTTGACCACTTCCTGGTCCAGTACAGGAATGGGGATGGGCAGCCCAAGGCGGTGCGGGTGCCGGGGCACGAGGACGGGGTCACCATCTCAGGCCTGGAGCCAGACCATAAATACAAGATGAACCTGTACGGCTTCCACGGTGGCCAGCGCGTGGGCCCCATCTCTGTCATTGGGGTGACGGGTGAGTGGATGATGGCAGCCCCAGGGTGGGAGCCGTGGGAGGGTCACCCTCTTGCTCTTTGGTGATGACTGGTGGGGAATGGGCCAGGGGTCCGGTCAGCACCACAGACCTGCTTGTGGCTGGGGCTCCCCTTGGGCCTTCCTCTGAGGCTGACCCCTGGCTCCTCCTGAGCAGGGAGGGGCCATCAGGAGTTCTGCTGTGCTGGTGACTGTCCCAGGTCCCCCACAGCTGACCCTGGAACTTGTCATGTGTGTTAGCTGTCAGTTGAGCAGGACCACCCAGCCCCAAGAATGGGCTTTTCTGAAATGACCTCACATACCCAGTAGTGGCCATGGTTTCTCCCTCCTTCCCTTGAAGACCTGAGCACATCCCCCAGGCACCTGGCATCCTCTCTATATCTCCTTTTCTCAGCTGCAGAGGAAGAGACCCCCAGCCCCACGGAACTCAGCACTGAGGCCCCGGAGCCCCCTGAGGAGCCGCTCCTGGGGGAGCTGACAGTGACAGGATCCTCCCCTGACTCGCTGAGCCTCTCCTGGACCATCCCCCAGGGCCACTTCGACTCCTTCACCGTGCAGTACAAGGACAGGGACGGGCGGCCCCAGGTGATGCGTGTCAGGGGCGAGGAGAGCGAGGTCACCGTGGGGGGCCTGGAGCCCGGGCGCAAATACAAGATGCACCTGTACGGCCTCCACGAGGGGCGGCGTGTGGGCCCGGTGTCCACCGTGGGTGTGACAGGTGAGTGTTTGTGAGTGAGGAAGATGGCCCTAGAAGATGTTGCTTTCTCTGCAACTTCATGAAAACAAAAATATTCTCACCAGCCGGGCTTCTTTTGCACGTTTCCATGCTTGGGGATCTTGCTAAGAGGCAGATTGGGGTTCAACAGGTTTGGGCTAGGGCCAGAGATTCTGCATTTCCAACAAGAAATGATGCGGATGCTGCTGGCCCATGATCACGCCCCTTGAGTAGCAAAGTTCTTCACGACAAAGGAATTGGACCCTCTTTTGAAATCTGTTGAAGAGAATTTTTCTGCGTCCCTGATTCCTGGTAGTGTGCTTTCTCTGTGGAGTTGACTAGGGGCCGTGAAGGAAGACAGAAGGCAGTGAGGGGCAGCGCGTCGACTGCACACTCTGGAAGCCCACTATTGGAATAGGAATAGGAACAGACCTTTCTCACCAATGGGCCAATTTGTTCATTCAGCAAAGAATTCCTTGCCCTGATCCGGACACTGTAATTTTAGGGTATCAATGTCCTCTGGCCAACGACCTCCAGAAACTCACCTAAAATTGAATGGATGGAATTATGCTCCATGCAGTGCAGGAGGACTGTGGGGTGACTTAGGAAGAGGCTTTAGAAAGAGATTGTTAAGGAACTGGGCTTGTGTTTGGTGTTTTAGGAAAGCATTTAAGGAAGCAAGGTTTTGCTCTTTATTAGACGCTGTCAGGAAGAAGGGATAACCCTATTACCGGGCGTCTCACTAAGTCTTATCTTTGGGGAGGTCAACTAGAGCAAGGCCAAAGCTGCCATTGGTAAAGAAGCAGCTATCACTCAGATTAGCTGGATGGGTGATGTTTGGTTATTTTTGTGCTTTGGAAAATGTTAGAGTTCATCCTTACTGAGACATGATCACAGACTGGCCTTGTTCTTGTCTTGATCCATCCTACTGACAAATGGCCTAGTCTGATGTTGATGTTCCATGAAATTGTCTGTTCAACTGGACCACGCCAAGACCAGACTGTGCCAGGCCAGCCCCAAGCAGCCGTGGCCTGGCAGAGGGAAAGGGCAGCTCACGGGTGTCAGGGCTGCCTTTTTCTTTCATAGGCGGAAGCTGGAAAGTGACACACACAAGTTCATGTTTTCATGGGGCTCACAATTGTGGGCACAAGCAGAAAACCGGAAAGTAAGCAAAGAAGGATGAGCATGTGGAGCCCAGGAGCCAAGCCAGGATTGGGAAGGGACAGTGAAGTCACTCTGCCCACAAGTACCCAGGGGACAGCCAGGACCTGAGGCCAGGCAGGCCTTAGCTTGATGACAGCTTTGGAGAGGAAGTGAAGCATGTCAAATCATCACAGCTAGTGCAAAGGCCAGGAGGCTAGAAAGAGCATGGTGTGTGAGAGACACTGAGGATTGAGTGGGGTGTCCTTTGCAGTTGGTGGATCATCCTGAAGTGTGGGAGCAGAGGAGGGGACCACTCACCAGGCCTGGGGTCTCCCAGGGATGAGGATGTGGTTGCCCAGGTCTGTGCTGAGATGGCCCCAGCAGCTGTGCCTGTGTGAAGTTCATCCGTGGGAGCTAAAGATGGGGATGGGGTGGCAGGGAGCCTGGAGGCAGGGAGGCCAGTAGGCAGTTGGTGGCCCTGGTGAGAGGTGACAGTGGCTCAAACTAGGATTGGGGACTGGAGGTGGGGGAGGAAGGTATCCAGGGAAACTCGGGGGAGAGGTACTCTGAGGCTGCTGGCAGCTGGTGAGGGGCTGGGTCCAGGAACACACCCCAAGCTCTGGCCTCGGGAGGAGTGTGCTGAGCTTGTTGCGGAGCAAAGACAGAAGCCCAGTGAACAAAAGATGGCGAGGAGACACCAGTGCAGGGAGGCTAAGGGTGCAGAGGCCGAGTGGGGCTGTGCTCAAAAGAGAGGCGGTGCTGGAGGGACAGGGAGAGGTGGCCTGGGTGTTGGGAGGTGGGGGTGAGGTGGGGGCTGAGGGCAGGGGGGTCAGGGTGAGGGATAGGAAAGGCCGCAGGAGAGGAGAGGATGAAGAGCTGTGCTGGAGGCGCTGTGGGCAGCATCGTCCTGCTCTTGGGCACTTTGTGTTTTGTGACACATCCTTTCTATGCTGAACTGAGAACCCAGGGACCTCACTCTCCCCACACGTGTCTGTCCAGCTCCAGAGGATGAAGCAGAGACCACCCAAGCAGTGCCCACCACAACCCCTGAGCCCCCCAACAAGCCTCGCCTCGGGGAGCTGACCGTGACAGATGCCACCCCTGACTCCCTCAGCCTGTCCTGGATGGTCCCCGAGGGCCAGTTTGACCACTTCCTGGTCCAGTACAGGAATGGGGATGGGCAGCCCAAGGTGGTGCGGGTGCCGGGGCACGAGGACGGGGTCACCATCTCAGGCCTGGAGCCAGACCACAAGTACAAGATGAACCTGTACGGCTTCCACGGTGGCCAGCGCGTGGGCCCCATCTCTGTCATTGGGGTGACAGGTGAGTGTACGATGGGAGCCCCAGAGTGGGGCCTGTGGGAGGGTCTCCCTTTCTCTGGTGATGGGTGAACTGGCCCAGGAAGCCCCTCTGCTCTTGGCTGAGCCATGGTACTTTTTTGTCTTTCCCCACTTCCCTGAGGACTGACAGATCTTCCTGGGTGGAGAAGGGCCCTGTGAGCTCTGTTGGTGGCTGTCCCAAGTTCCCCAGCACTGACCTCAGAGCTTGTCATGTGTGTTGACTGTAAACTGAGCAAGACCACCCAGCTCCAAAGATGGGCCTCTCCAAGCTGACCCCAGGACCCCCACTCATGGCCACAGCTTTGCTCTCCTTCCTCACAAGACCCAAGGACATCCCCCAGGGAAGCTGCCTCACCTTCTCTGTCCCCTCTTCTCAGCTGCAGAGGAAGAAACTCCCGCCCCCACAGAACCCAGCACGGAGGCCCCGGAGCCCCCTGAGGAGCCGCTCCTGGGGGAGCTGACAGTGACAGGATCCTCCCCTGACTCGCTGAGCCTCTCCTGGACCATCCCCCAGGGCCGCTTCGACTCCTTCACTGTGCAGTACAAGGACAGGGACGGGCGGCCCCAGGTGGTGCGTGTCAGGGGCGAGGAGAGCGAGGTCACCGTGGGGGGCCTGGAGCCCGGGTGCAAATACAAGATGCACCTGTACGGCCTCCACGAGGGGCAGCGCGTGGGCCCAGTGTCCGCTGTGGGTGTGACAGGTGAGTAAGTGTGAGTGAGGCGAGGTGGGGAAGATGGCCCTGGAAGACACTGCTGTCTCTCCAGTCTTCGTGAAAACATACTCTGAAGAGTATTCCTTCCTTTGTGTATCCAAATGCCTGGAGATTTTTGTTAAAAAGCAGATTTGGATTCAGCAGGCTTGGCCTAGGGCAAGAGACCATGCATTTCTTTCTTTTTCTTTCTTTCTTTTTTTTTTTTTTTGAGATAGAGTCTCGCTTTGTCACCCAGGCTGGAGTACAGTGGCTCAATCTCGGCTCACTGGAACCTCCGCCTCCTGGGTTCAAGTGATTCTCCTACCTCAGCCTCCTGAGTAACTGGGACTACAGGCGTGCGCCACCACGCCCAGCTAATTTTTTCATATTTTTAGTAGAGATGGGTTTCACCGTGTTAGCCAGGATGGTCTCAATCTCCTGACCTCGTGATCTGCCCTCCTCGGCCTCCCAAAGTGCTGGGATCATAGGCGTGAGCCACGGCGCCCAGCCGACCATCCATTTCTAACAAGATTCTCATCTATCTTGATGCCACTGGTCCAAGGAACACACTTTTTTTGTTGTTTTTTATTGTAGTAAAGTACACTTGACATAATTCGCCATTCTAATCGCTTTCTAGTTTGCAGTCCAGCATGAAGTCCACTCACATTGCTGTGGACTGTCACCCTCCACTTCCAGAACTCCTCTTCCCACACTGAAACTTCCTACCCACTAGACACGAACTCCCATTCTCCCCTTGCCCCAGCCCCTGGCAACACCATTCTACTCTCTGTCTCTATGAATTTGACTCTAGGTACCTCATATAAGTGCAATCATACAATATTTGTCTTTTTTGAATGGTTCATTTCATTAAATACAATGTCTTTAAGGTTCATCTATGTCGTAGCATCAGTCAGAATTTCCTTTTTATTTTATTTTCTGTGGCAGTGGGGGTCTCGGTATGTTGCCCAGGCTGGTCTCAAACTCCTGGCCTCAAGCGAGTCTCCCACCTTGACCTCCCAAAGTGCTGGGATTATAGGCAAGAGCCACTGCACCTGGCCAGAACTTCCTTCCTTTTCAGGCTGAATAATGTTTCGTTTTACACATACAGACCACACTTTGCTCATCCTTTCATCCATTGATGGACATCTGGGTTGCTTCCACCTCTTAGCTATCAAGAATAATGCTGCTATGAATATTTGTGTGCAAATCACAGAACACCTTTGTAGCAAAGCTCCTCCCAGTAACAGATTTGGAAACTCTCTTAGAATTTGTTGAAGCGAATTTTTCTTGCATTCATGAATCCTCACAGAGGTTAGGCTCAGAGTTAGGGTTCCTGTCCTAATGGGAAAAGTTCCTGTCCTAATGGGGCTAACGTCATGGGGGACAGGCTGTGGACCAGTAAGAAAGCAAAGGCGGGTGAGCATGTGACAAGAAGCCCAGAGCCAGGCAGGAATACCTAAACCACCCTACCTGTGGATACTCAGGGGACAGTCAGGATCTGAGGCCAGGCAGGCCTTAGCTTGGTGACAGCTTTAGAGAGAAGGTGAAGCGTGTCAGATCAGCACAGGTGGTGCAAAGGCCAGGAGGCTAGAAAGAGCATGGTGTGTGAGAAGTACTGAGGATTGAGTGGGGTGTCCTTTGCAGTGAATAGATAGTCCTGAAGTGTGGGAGCAGAGGAGGCCTGGGGTCTCCCAGGGATGAGGATGTGATTGCCCAGGTCTGTGCTGAGATGGCCCCAGCAGCTGTGCCTGTGTGAAGCTCATCTGTGGGGGCTAAAGATGGGGATGGGGTGGCAGGGAGCCTAGAGGCAGGGAAGCCAATAGGCAGTTGGTGGCCCTGGTGAGAGGTGACAGTGGCTCAAACTAGGATCGGGGACTGGAGGTGGGGGAGGAAGGTATCCAGGGAAACTCGGGGGAGAGGTAACTCTGAGGCTGCTGGCAGCTGGTGAGGGGCTGGGTCCAGGAACACACCCCAGGCTCTGGCCTCGGGAGGAGTGTGCTGAGCTTGTTGCAGAGCAAAGACAGAAGCCCAGTGAACAAAAGATGGCGAGGAGACCCCAGTGCAGGGAGGGTAAGGGTGCAGAGGCCAAGTGGAGCTGTGCTCAAAAGAGAGGCGGTGCTGGAGGGACAGGGAGAGGTGGCCTGGGTGTTGGGAGGTGGGGGTGAGGTGGGGGCCGAGGGCAGGGGGGTCAGGGTGAGGGATAGGAAAGGCCGCAGGGGAGGAGAGGATGAAGAGCTGTGCTGGAGGCGCTGTGGGCAGCATCGTCCTGTTCTTGGGCACTTTGTGTTTTGTGACACATCCTTTCTATGCTGAACTGAGAACCCAGGGTCCTCACTGTCCCCACACGTGTCTGTCCAGCTCCAAAGGATGAAGCCGAGACCACCCAAGCAGTGCCTACCATGACCCCTGAGCCCCCCATCAAGCCTCGCCTGGGGGAGCTGACCGTGACAGATGCCACCCCCGACTCCCTCAGCCTGTCCTGGATGGTTCCCGAGGGCCAGTTTGACCACTTCCTGGTCCAGTACAGGAATGGGGATGGGCAGCCCAAGGCGGTGCGGGTGCCGGGGCACGAGGACGGGGTCACCATCTCAGGCCTGGAGCCAGACCATAAATACAAGATGAACCTGTACGGCTTCCACGGTGGCCAGCGCGTAGGCCCTGTGTCTGCCATTGGGGTGACGGGTGAGTGAATGATGGGAGCCCCAGGGTGGGAGCTGTGGGAGGGCCACCTCTTGCTCTTTGGTGATGACTGGTGGGGAATGGGACAGGGGTCTGGTCAGCACCACAGAACTGCTTGTGGCTGGGGCTGGGACTCCCCTTGGGCCTTCCTATGTGGTTGACCCCTGGCTCCCCCTGAGCAGGGAGGGGCCATCAGGAGTTTTGCTGTGCTGGTGGCTGTGCCAGGTCCCCCACAGCTGACCCTGGAACTTGTTACGTGTGTTAGCTGTCAGCTGAGCAGGACCACCCAGCCCCAAGAATGGACTTCTCTGAAATGACCTCAGGTCCCCCAGTCATAGCCTTGGCTTCTCCCTCCTTTTCCCCAGGACCCAAGGACATCCCCCTCACTCTCTCTCCCTCCTTCTCCACTGCAGAGGAAGAGACCCCCAGCCCCACAGAACCCAGCACTGAGGCCCCGGAGGCCCCTGAGGAGCCGCTCCTGGGGGAGTTGACAGTGACAGGATCCTCCCCTGACTCGCTGAGCCTCTCCTGGACCATCCCCCAGGGCCGCTTCGACTCCTTCACCGTGCAGTACAAGGACAGGGACGGGCAGCCCCAGGTGGTGCGTGTCAGGGGCGAGGAGAGCGAGGTCACCGTGGGGGGCCTGGAGCCCGGGCGCAAATACAAGATGCATCTGTACGGCCTCCACGAGGGGCAGCGCGTGGGCCCAGTGTCCACCGTGGGCATCACGGGTGAGTGGGGGGACAGGCCCTCGTCCCCAGGTTTACCTCTGCAGCCCCCTTGTGTTTCTCCTTTGGATCTTGGCACCTCTTTTGACTGGGCCTCTAGGTTTCTGTCTTTTCTCCCATGTTGCTAATGATCCTGCCTCATCCTTGGATTCATGGAGACTGTGTGGAGTCAGATGGGCAGGTAGTCCATGCCCTGTTTGTTGTAGCTTCCTTCTCCCATTGTGATCTGGAACCTCCATGTTGCTCGTGTGCTCATTTGTTAGTCTTCAGGCTCCCTTAAGGAGTATTTTAGTGGCTCAGAAAGTGCTTCAGATCCAGCTGCCCAGATCTGCATGTGCCTTCGAATGTAGTGATTGTGCGACTTTGCAGGCGTTTCCTAACCTTGTGCTTCAGATTCCTGCAAAGTTGGGGTGATGATAATAATGGCACCCACTTCATATGTTGTGCGAGGGTTAAATGCACCACTGTTTGTGAGCTGCTTACAGCAATGCAGGGCACAGATTCTAAAACAAGCGTTTTAGAGGAGGCCGCTAAGAAATGCTCACTCCAGTCCTGGGAGAGCACTGCCTCCCTTGCGCAGGGTCCTGCCTCCTGACCCATGGGCCTGCTCTGCTCTTTTCAGCGCCCCTGCCCACACCACTGCCGGTGGAGCCCCGCCTGGGGGAGCTGGCGGTGGCGGCCGTGACCTCGGACTCAGTGGGCCTCTCATGGACGGTGGCCCAGGGCCCCTTTGACTCCTTCCTGGTACAGTACAGGGACGCGCAGGGGCAGCCCCAGGCAGTGCCTGTGAGCGGAGACCTCCGAGCGGTCGCCGTCTCGGGGCTGGACCCGGCCCGCAAGTACAAGTTCCTGCTCTTTGGACTCCAGAATGGGAAACGCCACGGCCCAGTCCCTGTGGAGGCCAGGACCGGTGAGTGAGGGCTGGAGGCCTCCCGCGGCCAGAGCCTTCGCCCCCTTGTGGCACCTGTTGGAATTTCACGTTCTGTGCCCCACACTCCAGTCCTCAGCACCCACTGATTTATTGGGTCCAGGAAAACCCAGGCCCTGAGCTCTCCTCTCCCACTCACACTCATCCCTCTCCCTACTTTCCCTGCACCCCAGGGGACACTTGCTTTCTTGTCTGGCTCCTCTTTTATTCCTACTCCTGGCCCAGTCACCCTCCCGTTCCTGGGACCGGCTCACAGAGCCATAGCAGCCCAGGAAGCTCCGTGGCCCCTTTGCCTCCATCCCACTCTCCATGCACCTCACTGTCTTTTCCAGCCCCAGACACCAAACCGTCTCCCCGCCTGGGGGAGCTGACTGTGACAGATGCGACCCCTGACTCCGTGGGCCTCTCGTGGACGGTCCCTGAGGGCGAATTCGACTCCTTCGTGGTCCAGTACAAGGATAAGGATGGTCGGCTCCAGGTGGTGCCGGTGGCAGCCAACCAGCGGGAGGTCACAGTCCAGGGCCTGGAGCCCAGTAGGAAATACAGGTTCCTGCTCTATGGTCTGTCAGGCAGGAAACGACTGGGCCCCATCTCTGCTGACAGCACCACAGGTGAGTCCCAGTCCAGCCTCCACCTTTTCCAGAGCTGCCTCTCATCCGAGCCCTCAGAGCTGGCCCTGCAGCCTTCCCGTGAGATTCCCTCTATCAGCCCTGACACAACCATCTTAACTCCGAAAGTGAGTCCCTCTGTGTGTCAGGCACAGTTCTGAAGCATATGCATTACTTCCTTTCATTCGCTGACTGCTGAGGAAATAAAAGGGACACGGGCTTTGGGGCCAGCAGATCTGTGTTCCAGTTCCAGTCCTAGCCTTTGCCAGGGTGACCATGGACAAGCCGCTTCATCCCCGGGACCTCAGTGTCCTCACCTGCATAATGCTGGGAATGGCGCTGGACTCAGTAGTGGTTCCCATCCTCCTCCCTCCTCCCTGACTCGGAGCCGAGGGGTGGAAGAAAAGGGAGGGCTTGGCTATGGAAAGACGATGGAAAAACCTGGTGTCACTATGCCTATGACTCAGCTCCCTGAGGAAGGGGTGTGGTGGGTCACCGACCCTCACCCCACTCCCAGGACCATGAGTCACTATGCCCAGAGGAGGACAGAGCAGCCGGCCAGTCTGGGCCTGGGTCCCTGGGACTCCGTAATTCTCTTCCCAAACCCTCACTGTGGGGACGGGGTACAGATCCCCACCCATCGGCCCCAGCCCCACCCGGGCAAGCCTCTGCTCTGCCCTCTGTTCTCCCAGCTAATCCCCTGTCTTCTCCCTGCCCCACCCTGGCTGCCCCGGCCCAGTGGGGTCAGTGTGGGGCTGGGGAAGCAGGAGGCACGGATGTTCAGGCTGATGGCCACAAGGGGACAAGGGGGAGATCACAGCCTGGCAGTGATGGGAGCCGTGCATTGGCCGGCTGCCCAGACCAGCTCTCGATGTTTGGGGTGTCTCCGTGACAACCCAGAGACCTCCGGGGAGTCTCTCTCAGCTCTGGCCTC
Organism: Homo sapiens; assembly: GCF_000001405.40. Taxonomy (NCBI): domain Eukaryota; kingdom Metazoa; phylum Chordata; class Mammalia; order Primates; family Hominidae; genus Homo; species Homo sapiens. The sequence goes on along the minus strand of NT_167245.2, from coordinate 3,288,211 downwards.
ATTCCTGCTCAGGGGCTGGGGGTCAGGGTAAACAAAGGCCCTCTCTGCACCCCCAGCCACCCATCCCTCGGGAGATGATCTGTAATGAATTTGGCGCATCCTCGATCACAGCAGGGAAGGGGCAGGGCAGGAAGGAGTTTGGGCAGCAGCCTCCAGAGGAGGAGGGGGCTGTTCTCCCTCATTCCTGTGGGGCATGGCGGGAGCAGGCCTGTGTGTCTCCTCAAGGAGCTGTCCCTGGGGCTACACTGGAGGGACCATTTCCCAGAACCTCACACCTCCGGGAGGCTGCCAGGGCTTAGGCAAAGGCAGCATGTGACTAAGAGCTTTCCCTCCTCCCTCTGCACAGCTCCCCTGGAGAAGGAGCTACCTCCCCACCTGGGGGAACTGACCGTGGCTGAGGAGACCTCCAGCTCTCTGCGCCTGTCCTGGACGGTAGCCCAGGGCCCCTTTGACTCCTTCGTGGTCCAGTACAGGGACACGGACGGGCAGCCCAGGGCAGTGCCTGTGGCCGCAGACCAGCGCACAGTCACCGTAGAGGACCTGGAGCCTGGCAAGAAATACAAGTTTCTGCTCTACGGGCTCCTTGGGGGAAAGCGCCTGGGCCCGGTCTCTGCCCTGGGAATGACAGGTGAGGCTGCTGTGCCTGGCTATAGCAAGCCAGCTTGTGTGGGTTTCCTTGTGCATTTGGGCTGAAGACAAAGATGACTGCAGGAGTGGGCAGGCCGGAGTGGGGCGCCCTGGCCTGTCCCCAGGAAGGAGGAGGAGTCTGCAGCCCTGTGGGCTTCAACATCCATCAAGGAGTCCAGAGCAGGAGCCAGGCCAGGCGGGAGGGAAAGGCCCTGGGAGGGGCTCTCTAATCTCCCAGCCCCGACTCTGCCCCGTCACTGCCACTGCTCCTCATTACTCGCTGGGGCTGCTGTCGCCTCCCCGAAGGGTGGCCTTGTCCAGATAGCGGCAAACCTCCCTGCCGTGGATGAGTCAGGAGCATTTTCTTAAGAGGAACATCACTGGAAAACAAAATGAGCGGGGACACAGAAACCAACAGCAGTGGCTGCATTTGTGGTACAGGCTCCTCTTCCAGAGCTCGCTGATGCCCACCTCAGACAGGCCTGACCACGGCACGGCTGGTGGGATTTGCCAGTCACCTCAACCAGCCAGTTCCACCCTCAGCTTCTCTCAGAAGGGAGCACCACACTCCTCAAGCTCAGTGAATGTATCCCGGCATGGGTGGGGCCAGAGCCTGTGATATCTCGAGGTGGGCTCGGCAGGACACCGGGGTGTGGAAGGGGGAAGCGAGCACCTGACTCAGACAGCGCGGGAGCTCGCAGGAGTCACGAGGCCACAGCGACTTCATTGTCTGACTGGGCCTGGACCTATAAACTTCCCACCTCAGCCTTGGGCCAAGCCTGGAAGATAAAAATGGAGCACCCCATGGCGCCCCTCACTCAGATTCTCCCCTGGGCTTCTCCCACGCAGCCCCAGAAGAGGACACACCAGCCCCAGAGTTAGCCCCAGAGGCCCCTGAGCCTCCTGAAGAGCCCCGCCTAGGAGTGCTGACCGTGACCGACACAACCCCAGACTCCATGCGCCTCTCGTGGAGCGTGGCCCAGGGCCCCTTTGATTCCTTCGTGGTCCAGTATGAGGACACGAACGGGCAGCCCCAGGCCTTGCTCGTGGACGGCGACCAGAGCAAGATCCTCATCTCAGGCCTGGAGCCCAGCACCCCCTACAGGTTCCTCCTCTATGGCCTCCATGAAGGGAAGCGCCTGGGGCCCCTCTCAGCTGAGGGCACCACAGGTACCACCAGGCGTCTCCGGCCTCTAGCCTAGGACTCAGAAGGGAGAAACGGGGGCTCAGAAGGGGTGGTCGCAGGGAAAGAGCGTGAGGCGGGTACCAGGGAGAGAGGATGGATGGGCTGGATGCGAGTGGCCTTTAGCTCTGCCCCACAGGACCCCCCTGTGGCTGCAAGTCCCTGGTTACAGATAGAGAAACGGGGGCAGGGAGGGGGGTGGAAGGGACGTGCTCTGGGTCACCAAGCTGGTGTGCTTCTGTCTCCAATCCCTTCTCCCCCACCCACTCCGTGCAGGGCTGGCTCCTGCTGGTCAGACCTCAGAGGAGTCAAGGCCCCGCCTGTCCCAGCTGTCTGTGACTGACGTGACCACCAGTTCACTGAGGCTCAACTGGGAGGCCCCACCGGGGGCCTTCGACTCCTTCCTGCTCCGCTTTGGGGTTCCATCACCAAGCACTCTGGAGCCGCATCCGCGTCCACTGCTGCAGCGCGAGCTGATGGTGCCGGGGACGCGGCACTCGGCCGTGCTCCGGGACCTGCGTTCCGGGACTCTGTACAGCCTGACACTGTATGGGCTGCGAGGACCCCACAAGGCCGACAGCATCCAGGGAACCGCCCGCACCCTCAGCCCAGGTAAGGACCCACACACACTCTGCCCCAAAGTGGGGGTCTTTGTACTTCACGGGGGGGACCTAGTGCCTCAGCCAGCGGTGGGGGTGGGCGAGTTGGTGGTGGGCCTGGAGGAATCTGCAGAGCGACTTCCATTCCTGGGGACTAGAGGAAAAGGGGTGGTGAGCCTGTGCTGGAGCAGAGGCGAGGGGGGGACTCGCAGGGAGGAGCCTCCCTGCCCCTGCCTGCGTCATTGTTCCTTGACCCCTCTGCAGTTCTGGAGAGCCCCCGTGACCTCCAATTCAGTGAAATCAGGGAGACCTCAGCCAAGGTCAACTGGATGCCCCCACCATCCCGGGCGGACAGCTTCAAAGTCTCCTACCAGCTGGCGGACGGAGGTGGTGCCTTTGCCATGTGCTCATCGCCTCGCATTTCCTCTCCCCCCTGCACTCTGCCCACCCTCCAGCCGCCCTGGGGTTCCCTGGGTAACCCTCGATCCCCAATGTTTTCAGGGGAGCCTCAGAGTGTGCAGGTGGATGGCCAGGCCCGGACCCAGAAACTCCAGGGGCTGATCCCAGGCGCTCGCTATGAGGTGACCGTGGTCTCGGTCCGAGGCTTTGAGGAGAGTGAGCCTCTCACAGGCTTCCTCACCACGGGTGAGATGGACTGGGACCCGGGGCAAGAGGTGGGAGCCAAGAAAACGGCATGGGTGGGAGTTGAGAGAGAACGAGGAGGGTGAAAGGGAGGTGGTGGAGGCTCCGATTGCGGACGGGAGGCCAGTGGAGTCTGGGGAGGCACGGAGTAGAGAGAGCCGCGGGGACCCCTCTGAGCCCCTCCCCTTCCCCCAGTTCCTGACGGTCCCACACAGTTGCGTGCACTGAACTTGACCGAGGGATTCGCCGTGCTGCACTGGAAGCCCCCCCAGAATCCTGTAGACACCTATGACATCCAGGTCACAGCCCCTGGGGGTGAGCAGGGCTGAGGCCTCTGGAGGGGACTTGTTCAGGGTGGGGATTGCAGGGGGGAGGCTGGACTCTGGCCGAGGATGGAGGGGGCAGGCCTTGATGCCCCTCTCTACACTCCCAGCCCCGCCTCTGCAGGCGGAGACCCCAGGCAGCGCGGTGGACTACCCCCTGCATGACCTTGTCCTCCACACCAACTACACCGCCACAGTGCGTGGCCTGCGGGGCCCCAACCTCACTTCCCCAGCCAGCATCACCTTCACCACAGGTAGGGTCTGTGGGGTGTGTGGGACAGGGAGAGGAGGTAGAGGGAGCCAGGTTGGGCCTCATCCCCATCTCCTCTTCCTGCTTTCCCTCCTAGGGCTAGAGGCCCCTCGGGACTTGGAGGCCAAGGAAGTGACCCCCCGCACCGCCCTGCTCACTTGGACTGAGCCCCCAGTCCGGCCCGCAGGCTACCTGCTCAGCTTCCACACCCCTGGTGGACAGACCCAGGTGCCCCGGCCCCACTGACCCAACTCCCCTCCCTGGGTGATTCCAGGAGGTGCTGCCTCTGGCCCTCCCGGAGGGTCTCCACCTCCCTCTCCCCTGACCCCCCCTTGTCTGTCCCACAGGAGATCCTGCTCCCAGGAGGGATCACATCTCACCAGCTCCTTGGCCTCTTTCCCTCCACCTCCTACAATGCACGGCTCCAGGCCACGTGGGGCCAGAGCCTCCTGCCGCCCGTGTCCACCTCTTTCACCACGGGTACCTGGACGCACGGGCCCGGGGCCGGGGGCTGGGTGGGCAGCCAGGGCCTAAGGCTTGGAAAAGGACTGGCCCCTGCTCTCCTCTCCCAGGTGGGCTGCGGATCCCCTTCCCCAGGGACTGCGGGGAGGAGATGCAGAACGGAGCCGGTGCCTCCAGGACCAGCACCATCTTCCTCAACGGCAACCGCGAGCGGCCCCTGAACGTGTTTTGCGACATGGAGACTGATGGGGGCGGCTGGCTGGTGGGTGGCATTGGGAAGCCCAGGGGTCTGTGCAGGGCAAGGGGCTGTTGCCCCGGGAGCCAGAGGCTGATGGTGCCCCCACTTGCTTCCCAGGTGTTCCAGCGCCGCATGGATGGACAGACAGACTTCTGGAGGGACTGGGAGGACTATGCCCATGGTTTTGGGAACATCTCTGGAGAGTTCTGGCTGGGTCAGTGCCTCACAGGGACTGGGGAACTACGGATGGGGATGGGGGCCCTGTGGACACCAGGACCCTGATGAGGGCACGTATCCCACCCCCAGGCAATGAGGCCCTGCACAGCCTGACACAGGCAGGTGACTACTCCATGCGCGTGGACCTGCGGGCTGGGGACGAGGCTGTGTTCGCCCAGTACGACTCCTTCCACGTAGACTCGGCTGCGGAGTACTACCGCCTCCACTTGGAGGGCTACCACGGCACCGCAGGTAAGCAGAGGCTGTGAGGCTGGGAGGGTGAGGCTGGGAGGGGAGGCCCTCATGGCTCCTTCCTCCACCCTGCCCAGGGGACTCCATGAGCTACCACAGCGGCAGTGTCTTCTCTGCCCGTGATCGGGACCCCAACAGCTTGCTCATCTCCTGCGCTGTCTCCTACCGAGGGGCCTGGTGGTACAGGAACTGCCACTACGCCAACCTCAACGGGCTCTACGGGAGCACAGTGGACCATCAGGTGAGGGGTGGGGAGGCGGCTCAGAGCTGGGGTGGCTGGGGCTCGGCCTGCCTAGGTTTCAGCCCCACAGTGTAACAGGCAAGGGACTGAGCGGCTGGGTGAAATGGAACAATCATGCCAGCCTCGCAGAGGGAGCTGGAGTTGATTTATTGGCTGGAAAGGACCAGCTCAGGATTAAGCCTCAATCCTCTGCGGCAGAGGGTCAGGAAGGGAGCTCTGCGGGGAGGTTGGTTGAGTGCTGGGAGCCACCTCCTTAAGGGGAACGGGAGGAGCAGATGGGACATCCGGCTTTGACTCTCTCTTGACAACCCCTTTCCCAGGGAGTGAGCTGGTACCACTGGAAGGGCTTCGAGTTCTCGGTGCCCTTCACGGAAATGAAGCTGAGACCAAGAAACTTTCGCTCCCCAGCGGGGGGAGGCTGAGCTGCTGCCCACCTCTCTCGCACCCCAGTATGACTGCCGAGCACTGAGGGGTCGCCCCGAGAGAAGAGCCAGGGTCCTTCACCACCCAGCCGCTGGAGGAAGCCTTCTCTGCCAGCGATCTCGCAGCACTGTGTTTACAGGGGGGAGGGGAGGGGTTCGTACGGGAGCAATAAAGGAGAAACTGAGGTACCCGGCTGGCATCGGTCCTGCCCCATCACTGGCTCTGGCCCGGGCTGTGGGCCCCCATCCCCCGGGGCTGCAGCCGCACTTGGAAAGGCTGCATCTTGAGGATGACACTGCAGTGGGGCAGGGGCTGCAGGGAGGGCAGGGCGTCCCCGGAGGGCAGCAGCGTGAAGGCCTGCAGCAGTCGGGTCAGCACCACGAAGAGCTCCAGGCGCGCCAGCGGCTCGCCCAGGCACACGCGGGCACCGCAGCCGAAGGCCAGAGCTCTGGAGTTCTTGCCTGGCTCCAGGAAGCGATCTGCGGGCGGGTGGACAGGTGGGTGGGGAGGCGTTCAGCGGCAGCGGGGACCAGCCTCCACCACATTTTCACGGCAGGCCCCCGGCCCCCCACATACCAGGCCAGAACTCATGTGGCCTCTCCCAGACCGTCTCATCCAGGTGGGCGCCTTGGAGGTTCGGAATGATGACTGTGCCCTCAGGGATGTCGTAGCCAGAGATGCTGAAGGGGGCTGGAGTTAGAGGCTGGCCAGGACCTCCCTGGGCTCGGGCTTTCCTCACTCATCCCCAACCCTCGGGAGTCACCTGCTGGGCCGTGTGGTGCGGTGGGGCAAGGCTAAGGGCACAACGGGCCGCAGGCGCAGCACCTCGGCGATGGTGGCATTGAGCAAGGGCAGCCGTGCACGGTCCTTGTAGGGGACCCGGGAGCTGGAGGCACCAGGGCCCAGTTCGTGGTCTAGCTCCTCCTGCAGTCGCTGCTGAATCTGGGGAATGATCGGGTGGAGTCCTGCCCCAGCAGCCCACAGCTGCCCAGCCTCCAGCCGCTCCCTCAGCAACCCAGTGAGCCTGAGTGCCGGTGAGGCAAGCACAGCCCCAGCCGCACAGTGCTCAGAGCTGAGTGAGGGTGCCCACCGCCCTGGCCAGGTTGCTGGGAAGGAGCCTTTTGCTTGTCCCCAGGACGCACCTCAGGGTGGTGAAGCAAAAAAACCACGGCCCAGGAGAGGGTGTTTGCTGTGGTCTCAGTGCCACCGATCAGGAGGTCCACTGCAGCCATGTGCACGTGCCCTTCCAGGAGCTGTCCAGAGCCCTCTTCCATGCTCGGCTGCGCCACCCCTTGGAGCATGTAGTCCATCATGTCCCTCCACTGGCCTGCCACGAGGCTCTCCTGCAGAGGGTGAAAGGAGCGGGCTGAGCGGCTGGCCTGGGGAGAGGAGTACAGAGTGGCAACAGGCCCATAACTGGGGTATGCAAAAGAACCCGCCTCATAGCAATGCTGAGGCCGGTAGCATCACTGGCTGTGGGCCGAGGGGAGGCCGTCCACGTACAGTCCCCACCTTGTGCTGCCTCAGCTGCATCTCCACGATGTGATCCCTCTTCTCTATGGCCTGCTTCAGCCTCCGGAGACCTGGATTGGGGAAGAACTGCGGCAGGAAGCATGAGAATGCAGCTGTGGGAAGGAGCCTCTCCCTCCACCCCAGCCTCTCCCCTACAACCCAGGGGTGTCTAGGCTCCAGGTCCTCACCCTGAGAAAGGGAATCACGTCCACAATTTGGATGGACCAGTGGCTCCAGGTTTTTAACACCTCCTGGATACATTTGTAATAGGCAGGCATTAAGTTGTCGTCCTGCCAGAAAAGGAGGGAGTACTTTCAGTTCAGGACAAGGAGAGGCTCAGGGAGGGGCTGGGGGTGGGCCTGAGGGGCTGTGAGGCACCTTGATCTTGTCTCCGAAGGTGAGGTAACAGATGATGCTGCAGGTGAGGAGAGAGAATTCCTCCTCAATGGCCACAGGGGTGCCGGGCTGGGCTCTCATGCGCTGTGGAGAAACAGTGTGAGTTCAGCAGGCCGCTGTGCAGCGGGCAGGGCGGGGGCTACTGTGAGAGGCAAGGCTGACCCGAGGTGGCCTCAGGAGCCCAGCCTTACCTCACAGAACTCCTGGGTCAGCTGCTCCACCACTGGCTCCATGGAGTCACGGATGCCCAGCAGCAGGGCTGAGCGGGTGAGCTTCTTGTGGGCTTTCCAGAGCAGGGAGTAGTCTCCCAAGGACAGGTCCGGGTAGTTCCTAGACACCAGCTTGTCTGCAGGAGGAGTTGGGGGCTGGAGGGTGGGAACTGATGAAGGCAGCTGAGGGCCTGACCTTCTTCTGCCTCCCCAACCCCTGCTTTCTCCCCACCAGATATGCCCCCCCAAGAGCTTCCAGGGACCTGGATTGGGGATGCCCCAAAGGTGGCTCACACTTGAGGCTGAGGTGGGAGGATCATTTGAGACTAGGAATTTAAGACCAGCCTGGGCAGCATAGCAAGAACCCATCTCTTAAAAAAAAATTTTTTTAAGAAAGAAAAAATGCCCCCGGCCCTTACAGGTAAGTGGCTCAGGTCTGCCAGCAAAGTCTGCCCACTTTTTGACCATGGCTTCCTCAATGGTCCTCTTGGAGTTCAGCACCACCACATCTGGGAGACAGCCAAAGCAGCGTCAGCGGAGAGAGGACCCTCTCCGTCACCTCCGCCCCCTCCTATGGTGAGGGCCAGAGCGAGATCAGCCTCTCACCTTGCAGCCCAAGGTGGAGCCTGTAGATGGGCCCGAATTTCTGAGTCAGGCCAAGCAGATAGATTGGGAGGTCGGGCTGCAGCAAGTGCAAGAAGCCCGGGGCAAGAGGCGGGAGGTGGAGGCTCCGGAGCTTCCACCAGTTCCACAGCAGGCGGGCGCCAGCCAGCAGGGGCAGCAGCAGCAGCAGGCCCAGGAGCAGCATGGCGAGACGCCCGTCAGGGCCCTGAGGTGCCACTTATAGCTCAAGAGCCCCAGCCATCCCTCCTGCTGTGTAGACTGTTTTGGGGCCTCCCTTGACCCCACCTTCAGGTACCCTCCCACCGACCCGCCCACAGAGTGGCCCTTTTCTGGAATGACACCAGTCTCATTGGCCTTGGGACGTCCGTATTTCAAAAAAATTGATCACCCATCAAGAAGCAAGGAAGGGAAATGCAACCCTGACCTTTTTCCTGCATCCAGAGTCAGCTTTCTGGTTCCACATCAACTGTGCAGGCAATAGTGTCCGCCCCCACCTGGGCCCTCTCCCTCTGCCACCCCACCGTGGGCCAGTTTACTGGCATGATGTTTGTCTCAGAGAGAAAATGGCAGTCCCTGCCTAATAGGCCTTCCTGAATCGCCTGAAGAACAAAATGTGATTTGTGTGGGTTGTTTGTTAGTTTAAGCTACAGATAGAGTAATACAGTTTAAGCCTGGTTTGCCTGGGGCATTCCAGTATATACAGGTATCCCAGTGTGATTGTTATTAGTGCCTCCTTTCACTCACAAAAGTGCCCAGAAGACAAAGGAGGAAGTGGTTTCCCGCTGCGGAGTAATAGCATGTACCAGACACTGCTCTAAGTGCTTTGTGGGCACTCACTCAACTCTTCACAGCCATGCTCTATATGCAACACGGGTATTGTTCGCATGTTGTGGAGGGCAGGATTCCAGCCTGGAAATCTAGCTGTCGAATATGTACCTTTAGCCACCAGGAGCACCTTTCTTTGGTTGAAAGGAAAACAGCCCACCTTGAGCTGGTTTGAGATAAAAAATAAGAATTGGGGAATTTCACAGAACTCAGGAAAAAGAAGCAGAGGAGGGGACCCCACTGGTCTTAGAAAGTCAAGGATAGGGAACAGAAAAAGCCCCGGAGACGGGCGGTTTCCTCGCTCTGTTCCTCTCTCCTCTTTCTTCTCTCTGCAGTCAAGTTTCTTGTGTTTCCAGGCACAGGCAGAACATGACTGCCCTCAGGACTACAGTCCACAGGTTCTACTCCAGCCAGGGAAAGTATGGATTCCCAGCACAACTGGGCATGCCCCCCTCAAAGTCCAAAGTCCCCAGGAAGGGGCTGGATAGCCACAGCTGGATCAGGATCAAGGGTCCAGCCCTATTTGGGGAACTGAAGCCATAAGGGGTGGGGGTCCCACTGGACTGACACTCAGAGACCACTTTTGTGGGTAAGGAGGCAGTTTGGGGATTTGGGAAGAGGCCATGCCAAAGAGGAGTGGCCGGGTTCAGTGAGAGGCCAGGGCCTCCTGGATGGTACCTGAGAGGTCAGAGGCGACCCAGCCTCATACCTTCCCCCCCATTTCTGGCTCTGTGCCAGACCCTCGGACCAGTGGGGGTCTCTCTCCCCTCAGAGCTTTTCCAGACTGTGCTACTGCAGAGCCAGAGTCAAGACCCTGGCTGTGCCACCCACTACATTGGCGAGTTCGCTGCTGCTGAATCCATGATCAGGACTGAGAGGGAGAAAACAGGATTGGGATTTCTGGGGTTGGGCAATGACAGCTACTGCCTTCTTCATGGTTGACCTCCCAGACCGGGCCATGTCTTGCTGCAACTGAATCCCTGGCTCCGGAAAATGGGCTTATGCCACCACCATGCTGAGCAGCTACTGGGAGAAAGATCTGATGAGCAACCATAGGGCCATGTATGCAAGAGCCTCAGGAAACCTCTGCCACAGTGGGAAAGGCCCAAACTTCTCAAAGTTACATGGGATAAGACAGTGCTCATCGGAAAGGAGCGCACCTGGAAGGCTGACGTGCTTACTACTTGTCTCACCATCTCCATCTCTTCCACCACTTCCAAATCCAAACTCCGAATGTGGTCAATTACATGCAATGTCCCCAAAGGTACCCTGTCCTGCCCCCGGCCTCTGGGCCTTTGTATATTCTCCTTCTGCCCCAGATGCCCTCATCTACCCCTGCTCTTTGCCTGGCTCCTTCTCAGTCTTCAGAGCCCCACTTGGAGGCCACCTGCTCCAGGAAGCCTTCCCTGTCCCTGCCTGGCAATGCCCCTGACTTGGTTAGATGCCCCACAGGACCACACTGCTCCCTGACATCACATCTTTCACAGAGGGTGGGGACTGCCCGTCCTCTTATCTGTCTCCCCAGCGATGAACCCTGGAGTGAGCAGCTGTATCTCTGGCACCTGGCACAGGGCATGGCATGAAGTGAAAGATTCCCGAATTTCTGTCGAATGACTGGATGGCAGGCTGCTGAACTGTCATGACCTCTACGGAAACTGATCTCACCAAACTTCTTTGGACAGACGCGGAGTCATCTCTGAAGACCCCAGGTGTGCCACTAAATGGGGGAAAGTTAGGCAGGTCCGGTGGGAAGGGGAGACCCCAGGAGAACAGCGGCTTCCTCAGAGGATTCACAAACACACCAAAGTCAGACTTTTGGCTTGTTTGAAACCAGTAACTGGAAGAAGACACTGCCGGACCTGAGGATTGCACAACTCCGGGAAAGTCACCTCATTCCACTGATAACAGAACCAAGCGTCAGCAGGCTTTCAACAGCCCGGAACTCAGCTAAAATCTGCAGACCTCAGAACCGCCAGCAGCACGAGGACAGAGTCGGGGAGGTGTAGCTGGACAACAGCTCATGAGGCAGAAGAGCTGTGTCACAGGTGTCAGCTGAGCACAAGCCCTGTCTGAGGCCGTGGTGACTGGCGACAGCCGGGCAGTGGAGGGCCTTGGAAGCTGAAGGGTGGTCTTGGCATGGACTCTGGTCCTTGGGGTGCAGGCTCTTGGGTCCCAGTTCTGCTCGGGGTGGTCCTGTGAAGCACTAGACTCCTAGCGGGTCATCTGGGAGGTTCTAGCAGAGCTGAACAGCCCAAGGGTCATCAGGGCTCAGAGAGTCTAAGGTTATGTCAACCTGGCCTGCCCAGAACTGCATCGGGCAGGGGCACTGCTCTCAGCCCTAGCAACACACACTGACACTTCGCTGCCAACACTGACACTTTGCTGCCAAAAGCCTTTAATATGCCCTGGTCCCAGGCTGTGTTCATGAAAGCGGACACAGCAGTGCTTCCAGCTTCATGGTTCCCAGGTTCAGGTTCCTCCCAGCGGAGGTGGGAGGGCAGCCCTCACACCTGGCACCCCTGAGTGCCATACTCCTGGAGGAAGTCGTTGAGCTGGGCACAGGCTGCCCGCTGGCGGGTGCTCCGGCACAGGCGTTCAGAGGGCATCTCCTCGATCCAGCTATTCGAGTCCAGCAGGTACTGGGGGCTGCAGGGGGCAAAGGGGCAGTCAGCAGGGCTCGGGAGGATGGCAGGTGGAAACGGAGAGCACAGGCATCTGGCTTCTGAGGGGCAAGGCCTAGGTGGCGAGGCATGGGGAGGACAAGAGACTGAGGGGACCAGATGACTCACTGTCCCTCGAGGTCATAGGTGGCCCCATCCAGACCCATGATCAAATATTCTTTCCCAGGTTCCAAGCGAAGGCGGCAGGAGGCTCGAACCAGGAAGTTGCGCATCTGATTAGCAGCGGCCTTGACATCCTTGGCTGCGGGGATGACGTGCGCAAAAGTGGTCAGAGGGGAAGAGAAGGTGCAGGGTGAGCCCAGGCTGGGGACTCTGTGTAGATCCTCTCATTCCACCTTCGCCACCCCCATGGAGAGGTGCCACTGCCTCCCTATTTATGGCCAAGCCCAAGGCTTCTGACAGCCCAAGGGGATTTTCACACTTCCAGATGGTCAGGTCCTCGGCCACACCTCAGCCTCCCTGTCTCCCCCCAGCCCTGCCCGCCTCTCCGGTTTGCTTCATACTGAAGTGCAGGACTTGGGTGATCTTGGTCTCAAAGAGGCGGAAAGCAGCTCTGCTGTCTTCTCGGAGAACCTTAACCTGGAAGCCTAAGAGGGGGTGAGGAGAAGGGGGAAAGGTGAGTTACTTTGAGGCTGAGAGGGTAGGAAGTTGGTGTCAGAGCAAACAGGCTGCGTGCATGACCTGTAAGAGGAGCAGGCTACACCCAGAGAGACCAAAACAGCCGGTCCCCGAGGGAGGGTCAGGCCAGGGCCTCGGTGGGAAGACTGACCGTACTCCACACGGGGGTAGTAGCAGGCAAACTTCATCCTGTAGCCATCCTCGTCCTGCAGACCCCGCTCCAGGGCGCGACGCTGGCGAGGGCACTTCCCTGAAGTTGGGGAACCCATCAGACAGTGTGGGGGGGGCCCCGGCCATCCCGCCTCCACTGCCCCGCCCCAGGCCCTCAGTCTCACCCTCAGCACACTGGCAGACTTCAGCAGAACACAAGGTGGCCAAGAGTCTGCTCTTACTTGGTGCCCCGTAAAACACAGAACATCTGCGCTCTGGAGAACAGAGAGGAGTTAGGGCACAGGCCCCTCCATTCTGCCTCCTCAGTCCCAGGGAGCCCCAGGGCTCTCTGCCCCCTCACTACCCCGGTGTCCATTGTCCCATAGGAGGGCACCTATGCCAAAGTTCTCCTGAATTTCAGGGTGTCCTGCAGTGCTCACCGGGGTTGTAGTAGTCGTACAGGGTTGCGCTGGCCGGCTGCACCAGCCCCACCGGCACTTCCTGCACAGCCTCAAAGCCCACGCACTCCCGGGAGGTGGGGACCTGGCCAAGCGTGGGGAGGAGAGATGAGGGACCCACTCCCTGGGCCCTGCAGCCCCCTGTACTGGGTTTCCTTGGCCTGTTTTTGTTTGCTTCCTATTGGCCTTCTCTCCAGTGTCCTTCACATTCTGTTACCTTCCTACTCAGAGAACTCTCAAAGCTGCTCCGCAAGGTCTCTGGTGACTTCACTTCCCAGAGGGTGACCTTGCCCCAGTCTTCACTGCTCCAGGCCCTCAGCAGAGTCTTGCATCATGGACGTGTTCTCTGTGAAACTGTCCCTAAGCTAAGGGTTAGCTTCTGGACCACCCTTGGTTCTGACCTGGTCATTTCTTACGTTCCCTCCTTCGGAACTTCCTTCCTCAGAGCTCCCCTGTGGGGGTCTCAACCACTCCCTGGCTTCCACCAAACCAATCCAGGCTGATGATTCCCAAACTGAACTTGCAGCTCCATCCTTGCATTAGGATTGTGGCAGGACCTGTAAGTTCTCCAAGGCACTCTGCCTGCCCCCAAACCCACTCGCCCTCCTCGCGGCCTCATCTTTGTCATGGATACAACTGGGTCCTCCTTTATTTGCCACAACCTAACTGCAGGTTCTGTCATCCTGCCTGACCCCCCGACTCAGGTCCCAGGCCTGACCCCTCCTCGTGCCCACGCGGGCCCAGTCCACACGGTGCCGTGCCAGTGTCCCTCCTGAGCTAGGCTGCTGCACCGTCAGCTCCCTATCCGGGAATCTTGTTGGCTCTGTGTTTTCTATTGTGTTCAACCCAGATGTGTCAGCCAGGCTTCCCCAGCTGATGGGGGCTGGCCCCTCTGCACACACTGGGTAGGGGTCTCCCTGACCTACAAACAGCTGGCTAATGACAGCCACCACACCTTTCTCACATTTTCTCCCAGAGGTTACAGTAAATGTTCCAAAACTTTTTTTGAAGGCCGGGCATGGTGGCTCTGGCCTGTAAATCCGGTACTTTGAAAGGCCTAGGCCAGAGGATCGCTTGAGGCCGGGAGTTCAAGACCAGCCTGGGCAACAGAGCGAGACCCTGTCTTTACTAAATAAATAAATAAAAATGTTTTGAGAGCCGTAAGAGGGTTGATAACTATTTTAGCCAAATAAGGTCGTGAAAAGACAAATACAACTATCATCTATGGCCACCATCACTTTGTAAAGGAAAATACGCTTTAATATTAAAAAAAAGATAGGAAGTTCAACAAAAAAACAAAGGCAGCCCCTCAAGCTGAATAAAACCAGCATTAGGAAAGACTCCCTCTCAAACCCTGAGGGTCCCTGCTGACTGGCATCGGTCCCTGCCGCCTGCAGGTCTGCCCCTTACTCTGCTGTGTCTCACGGGCTCACATTCTTGTCCTTCTCTCTGATGACATCACAAGTTCTCAAGAGCACCAGCCGCTGACACAGCTGTCTCCTGAGAAACCTCCTAACGCATACTCAGTAAACCCGGTGCCATCGAGTCCCTTCCTGCCTCATCTCTCCCCACTCACCGAGTCAAAATACAGCAGGACGTGGGGCCCCTCGGTCTCAAAGTGACTCACGTAACGGTCAGAGAGGGAGGTCAGCTGTGGAAAAGGGGAGTTGGTCACAGGCCCTGCACATGACAGGGCTCAGTACCTGGGACAGAGGGGGTTGCCCTGGGTGGCTGACCACACCTTCTCCAGGTCAGCACGCAGGGCGTGGAATCCACTCAGGAGGGTGACGTCCGCGATGGCCATGCCAGACAGCCCCACCTTGCCGTTCCGCCTGTGGAGACGTGTGAGCTGTCGTCCAGGTTCTGCCTGCGCGGGCTCCAGAAGCCCAGCCCCAGCCTGGGTCCTGCCCTCCCTCCCCTGGCCCAGGGCAGCTCCCGGCGCCCACCAGATGCACACGGTGTAGTGCACCCTGGACTCCTGCTCCTCCACCACCTTGGGCGCCTCCCTCCTGCGGCGGTTCCTCCGACCCTCAAACAGCTGCAGGGGTGTCACGGGCTGCAGAGGGGCATCTGGGTCATCCTTGGCTGGAAGCTCATCGTACTCATAGTCCTCATAGTCCTCGTTTGCTTCCACTGCACAGGGAAGCATTGTGAGGAGGGCTGGGATGGCCACCCGGCTCCCTGCGCCAGCCCCTGCCTGGCCCCAAGGCCTCCCAACCCCCACACTCACTCGTGTACTCGACGTGGCCTTTGACTGTCACTTCTATCTGTAGGTCCTGGCAGGTCGTGTTCTTCATGTCCAGGACATTGTAGGTACGAAGGACCTGGCTCAGCAAGGGGCAGGGAGAGGACGTGGGACATGTGAGGCCACAGACCTCTCTGGTGCCATACCTAAGGGCATCTCCCTGGGCTACGGGATTTGAGGCCTTCAGCCCCTTTTCCTCCCCGTCACTGCACAGTCCACACACACGAGTGGCACCACATTCGCCACAGGCGTCAGGCGAGACAGAGAGGTAAAGAAGCAGGGGCCTGCCCCCAGAGGCCAACACTCCAGACTGTGCTGGGAAGAGGCTGGACTGAAAAGCTCAGGAAAGGCTTCTGGCCAAGGCTTGAAGGAGAAGAAAGAGCTTGTCCTGTGGGCCAAGAAGCAGGGAAGGACAGGAAAGGCAAGGGGATCTGTGTAGACAAGGAGAGCTGTCTGGCCGGAGGGGTGGGCAGAGGCCCAGCCATCTGAGCCGTGGGCAGCGGGGAGTGACTTTTCCCCAAGGCTGATCTGGCTGGGGCTTTTGGAAGGTCAGTGTCACTGCCGTGTGGACAGTGGATCAGACAGGGGAGACAGGAGGTAGAGAGAAGTTCCAGGTAGGGAGAAGGCCGTCTCAGCACAGAATCTAGGATGCAGCACCAAGGGCCACAGGCAGCAGGGGAGCAGAGGAGGAGTCACTAGGGACATAAGGACAGGCTTGGGAGAGGGGCCACTAACACGGCCTCTAGAGTAGTGGCTGGGCTCCTGGCTGGGAGGGGCTCCCACCAGCCAGACAAGAGACACAGAATGAAGAAGGGCTTTGGGACATGCCTCGTCTGAGGTGCTGTGGGAGTGGGACGAGTGGGGCCCATGGTTCAGGGAAGAGGCCTGGGCTGAGGAGTGGGATTCGGAGCCACCAGCACTGAGGCGGGTAAAGGAAACAACAGGTACCCAGAGATGGGGAGAGCAAGCGAAAGCAAGCAGGGGGAAAAACACCCAGGACGGAAGCACGGGACACCAACCCTGAGGTGTCTGCCTCCTTCCCCGGACCATGTGCCTCTGCCCACAGGCCTCTCACTCCACACCCTCTCCTCCACCAGTGCCTGGCCCCACCCCTTCCCTGGCCCTCACCTTCAGGGTTCCTTTGCTGTTTCCTCCCACCTTCACATTGATCTTGCTGCCCAAGGAAAACTTCAGCAACAGAAAAGGGAAGGCGATGTTAGAAGGGCACAAGCAAACCTGTTTTTGCGGCTCCAATAACTTATCTCCTTCCTCAAAACAGCCCCACCTCCTCTCCCCACCTCACATTTCCACAAAGTTTATACCAGCACATGAATTATCTCACTTCAGCCTTCTAACGACCCTGTAGGGTGAACTCTGTGTATGTTACTCTACAAGTGAGAAAACTGAAGCTCAGAGCTCCAGGTCACGCAGCCAGGAAGTCAGTCTTCCCCCGAAGACCCCAGGAAGAAGTGCTGCGGGGATTCCACGGGTGGGAGGGTGGGGACGGCTTCTGGCCTGGCCACGAGGCCCAGGTGTCCTGGCTACCCAGGCGAGGGAGTGGTTCACCAGGGAGTGGTTCACCTGCAGCTCCTCCTCCAGGCCGCGAATCTGGCGGTTGTTCAGCTGCAGCGCGTGGGACTTGAACCCATTCCGGCCTGTGGAGCTGAGAGTCACATTGAGACCCCTCTCCTCAGTGGTGTGGGAGGCAATCCAGTAGGCAGACAGGGCATCCAGGGCAATCACCGTGTCCTAGGGAGGTTGAGCCAGGACTCAAGCAAGCCCTTGGTCTGAGGACTACCCACCCCCGCCAGAGCCCGGGGACGGCCCCTACTTGGGTACTGCGGAATCCCCCTTGGAAGCTGCCCTGACGGGTGAGCCAGGCCGCAGCCTGGTCTGCCATCTCTGCTTTGCCCTCGTGAAGCAGGAGGTGCAGCAGGGCGTAGGCTGTGGTTTCAATCCACAGGGCTGGGGCCTGGGGCATGGGGTCGGATGGGTTGCGAGGAGCCGGGGTGGGCGACACGGCATTGCTCTGAGAACCAGTGACTGAGCCCCAGTACAGGTTATCTGAAAGTGAAGGGAGACCACGAGTAAACAGGAAGGCAGGGAGAAGAGCCTGGTCCCCTGGCCCTTAGCCACCCCCTGCTGGGCTCTCCTGAGTCTCCCCCAACCCACCCCTGCTTATAACTTCATTCCTCCTCTGAGTCTTCATCCAGCCTCTCCCTCTGGGCACACTCAGGGATCCTAAGGTCCCCTGGGCCTCAGGCTCACTGCCAGAGCCCCTCACCCCTCACCTCCAGTCTCCTGGGCCATTGCCATGAGGTTGTTGTGGGCAACACCCCGCAGGTCCGCAGGGGCCTTGGTCAGTGTCAGGGCATAGGCCGTGATGGCAGCTGCGTGGGCACCCAGGAGCCCAGCACTTGCTTTCTCCCCCAAAAATGAGTTTGCCTTTGAGATGGAGGCTTCCTGGAAGAAAACGGGAGGAGGGTCTTGGGCCTGGACCCCTGGGTTCCTGAGGAAAAAGGGAGAGAGCTGGGGGCCAGCAGAGGGCAGAAACGCCACTGAACTTACCACTCTCTGCTTCAATGGCTCTGCACCCTCATCCTGGAAGACGGCCAGCCCATGATGAAGGGCGATGGTCACAAAGGCTGTGAGTGCCACAGTCTCATCATTGCCCACCAAACCCCCCTAGTAAGGGGAGAAAAGATGTCAAACAGGAGGGGGAAGGGGCAAAGAGAGTCCTCCGACAGGCGCTTCTCGGGCCAGCCCCAGCATGCCCGCACCTGCATGCTCCTATGTATCACTGGAGAGAGGTCCTGGAACGAGCCGTCAGCCTGCTGCTGGGACAGAAGCCAGTTAGATGTCTCCTGCAGTTTCTCAGGCGAGCCTCCTACCTGCTCCTGGGCCAAACTCAGGACCTTCAACACAAAGGCTGTGAGCCTGGAGGGCAGGAAAGGAGGGTTGGGGATAAGGACTTGCTTCTCATTATGCCCACGCCCCCAGGTGCCTGGTTATCCACCCTCCCATCATACCAGCTCTGTCCCACCCCTGCCCCAGCCCTGACCCCCTCAGAACCCTGGAACCACTCTCCCAAGCTCACCAGGTGCTGCTGCCCCGTGACAACCAAGCCGCATAGGAACCATCCGCCTTCCGAAACTGCTGGATCCGCATGTAGCCTTGGAGAGGAGAGGTGGCCGCTCAGGTGACACTCACCCTTCTGCTGTTTGAGCCCAAGGCCATGCTCCCCATCCTCATCAGGGGCCCCCTTTCTTTCCCTCTGTAGCCTCCTGGGCTGTCCATCTTCCAGTAACTGTCCTTTCCTGGCCCCCCTCCTGCTTGCCCTTGCACCCAGAACCTTTCTGGATCAGATCCACGGCGTGGTCCTTGGTCTCGGGAGGCAGTGTGCTCCACTGCTCTGTCTTGTCCAGGTAGCGGGAAGCAGCCAGTGTCGGAGCCAAGTAGATCATGGTTTGCTCCCCACAGCCTCGAGGAAGCCTCAAGAGGGAGGCCACGCCTCCTGGTGACAAGGCCCCCTCAGAGCCTAAAGTGTCCAATGGATCTGAGGCTACATGGGAGGGAGAGGGTGGAGGTCTGAGGACTCTGTGTCAGAGGCTCACGGGGAGTGGGACCAAGCAGGGATCCACAGGTCCCACATGAATCCGAAGGTGGCCACTGGGAAGGGACTAAAGGGCACTCCCACCTGTAACCCTGACGTAGCTGTTAAAGTCCCCATCAGGGATCATATTGGGATCAGAGTTGCCAGGTATTTCCAAGGTCCGGCCTCGGTGGTCTGGGGAAATGGGGGAAGTTGGCAGCCTGTCCTGCTGTCCACATCCCCCACCACCTGTACCCACTTAGGAAACCAATGGCTGGAGGTAGAGGGTCACTCACCCAAGGGGTTGAGTTCATAGACCAGCTCCTCTCTATGGATGGCCCCTTCCTTCTGTCTCAGGGAAAACATGGTTGTGAGGTCACACAGGACTACAGCCTGCCCTGCTAGCGCAGACTCCCCCAGAACTTTGAGTTTCAACTCCAGGGACAGAGTTGGATCAGAATTGTAGAAGATGGGAACAGACCAAGGCATTGGTTTGGGTGTTGGGCCCCTGGCCTGGCCAGCAGAGAGAGTGCTGAGGGTGGAGGACAAAGCTGGGGGCCCGGGGACTTATATTCAGGGGTGCTCCATTCACCTCAATCTGCAGAACCTTGGACACCGCATCTCCCACAGGGAATTCGAAGGACCCTCGAGCCACCACCTTCAGAGACACAGCGGCGGCTGCCGTGGGCACCACAGAGAAGGCAACAGGCCGGGCAGAGCCCGCAGGCACCAGCACCTGCTGGGCCAGCCCTCCGCCCCCAGCCAGGCACAGCCCCTCCACTGGGGACA
The DNA here is from genome assembly GCF_000001405.40 of Homo sapiens. NCBI lineage: Eukaryota > Metazoa > Chordata > Mammalia > Primates > Hominidae > Homo > Homo sapiens. The sequence continues at coordinate 3,268,656 of NT_167245.2, read as the reverse complement.
CGTGGACGCTCACCTGAGGGCAGGAAAACGAGGATGGCCAGAGTCCTGGCCCGGTTAGCCTCCCCACCCCTCACTGGGCCCTGGCTCCCCCAACTCCTGTATGCTCAGGCTCCCATGGGGCCTCACAGTCAGGTTTTTATCCAGGTAGTTATAGAGGACAGGCCGCAGCTCCAGCTGCTCAAAGCGGCGGACAGACATGGGCAGGCGGAGGTGCAGGTGGAACTCGCGGAACACCCGGAGCTGGACTGGGGTGGCCACACATAGGCCTGAGGGAAAGGAAGCGTGGGCACAGGGGCAGAGATCAGAGGGGCCATCAAAGCTTCAGGGCCACAGGAGGGAGGGGTGGGGGTGACCCAGCTCTGTCTCAGTCCGCCTCTGCCCTCTGGCCCACGCCAGCTGCACGCTGGCACAGACCTCCCCAGATCACTGGACCCTCTTCCTACACTAAGAGCAAAGGGAACAGGGAGCTGGGGTACAGGGAAATGGAAGCAGGGTCACCTGAGGCCCAGACAGGGTGACATCACCTTTGGTTTTGGACAGGCTCAGGCCATGGATCTCCCACGTGGTCAGAGAGTCGGGGAGCCACAGTGTCAATCTGTGTAGGGAAAGGCAGAGAAGGCCCGTCTACCCCGGCTGGCCCCGAGACACAGCACAGAGAAAAGGCCGGGCCGGCACACACTCTCACATTTGAAAGCGGTCCACTGTTTCCACTCTCCAGAGCCAGTTCTCTGGGAAGAAGCTGCGCACGGGAATGTCATCCTCATCAATCAGGTCCTCCTCCTGCAGGATCTCCAGGGCTGGGGGACCACGGTGGACGGGAGTGAGGAGGGGACCGTTCTGCCTTTCCAAGCGCCGCCACCTGTGCCCTAGCCCCACCCAGCCCCTCACCTCGTTGGAGGCCCGCCTGGCCCTTGTCCCTGCTCTTCTTGCGCAGACTCTCAGCAAATTGGCAGCAGGACAGGAAGGGCTCCCGGCAGTCCGGCTGCTGCACGCGGGCTGCCCGCTGCTCGCAGGAACGCATCATGGGCAGACGTGTCACCCCATCCTGGCAGCAGCGCTTGGCTGTCGGGGAAGCATACTGACCCACTGCAGGGCCAGGTGGGGGTGAGCATGAGAGGACAAAAAGGACATACACCTCAGCCCCCGCCCCGACCCCTTGAGACCAGCAACATAAGAGAGGCTGCTGGAGAGAGCTGCCCACCTTCCACTCGTAATCCCGGAATTCAGATCTCTGGCCCCAAATACCACACGTGGGTTCAGCAAGGAGCCGAGGGGCAGAGAGGCAGACCCCCAACCCGGATCCCAGGTGGAGAGCCCAAGCTACTGCCTAGGCACCCGCAACTCACATTTCTCATTAATCGCCTTTTGGAAGTTCACGTTTCTCTTTTTCCGGGTTGTCTTCTCCTTGGGACAGCTTAGTCCTGGTAGAGAGAAAGGCTGCAGTCCAGCCGTCAGGCACTCGGCCTCCTCCCCTCCTCCCCTTCCCCTGCCCAGCCCTTCCTGCCCGGACTCTTCCAGCTGGTCCCCTCAGGCCCTTCCTCCTTCCTTATCTTCCCGCCACCCACTCCCCTTCCTTCTCTGTTCTCACTCTTTCTGGATAAGGTCCACTGGTCTCCATCAGAAAAGGCCAGGCCCGCTGCCTGGAACACCTGAAGGGCACTGTCCCCACCCCCAGGACCACAGCCGAGGTCATAGCTGTTCATAGCTTCAAAGACCTGCAAGAAAGGCAGGAATGCTAGGAGCCAAGTGTGGCTGAGGGGCAGGACTGAGCACTCGGCACAGGTGAGAGGGCAGCACATGGGGGGATAGGAAAGGATACAGAGCCAGGAGATGGAGACCACAGGGCCAAGTGGGGAAGAGACTGTGGGGAGCCTCAGTGGGATCCAGGGGCTGCGCCCAAGGCTCAGGGAAGCAGGGGGATGAGCCATGGAGGGGTGAGAGAGCTGTGGAGAGGGTCTGGACAAACCTTGCCCATGTTGAGGGGCTTGTGGGACTTGCTGCCTGCAGCATACAGAGCTGTGTCCAAGGCTCCCAGCGCCACCAGGGCTAGGGAGTCGGTTTCTAAGTGGAGCTTCACGGACTCCCCGTTCCGGTACTGCTTGGCACCGTCCACGCTGAGCTCCAGCTGGCAGGGGCGGCAGGTGGGGGCGGTCAGAGTGGGAGAGCTTCCTTCAGTCCCGGTATCCTCACTGCCCCCAAGCTAAATCCATGCCCTGTTGGCAATCACCCTGTCCTCAACCCCCTCGGCACAAGTGCCATCTCTCCTGACCCCGGTCACCTTGCCCTCGCAGGCCCCAGCCTGGACATCCACTCGCAGGGAGTTGGCCACTGGGTGGTCTCCATGGTAGTAGAAGGCCACAAAGTAGAAGGAGGGTGCCAGGTGATGGTCCACAAACACCGAGACCGAGGTCAGGGTCCTCTTGGGCTCTCGATTCATGAACACGATCTGCCCTCGGGATAGGATCTGGGCCAAGAATGGGAGGGACAAGAGTGGTTGCCTCTTCATGGGACAGCCTCAGCCTTGAACCCCCCCAGCCCCACCCAGAGGGCTCTTCCCTGCACCCCAGCCCTCCGTGACTCCCCAGCTCATGCACACCATGTAGTAGTAATGAGAAAAGGTGGCCCCACTGCCCACGGCTCGCAAGTTCAGGTTCAGAGTGTCCCCAACACGAGGAGGTCGAGAATCCGGCCGCTCAATAGACAGAAACCCGGGGCCTCCTGAAGGTGGGGCTGCCACAGTGAGCCTGGCTATCGCTGGATGTGGGGAGCCTGCAGATACCTGGAGAGGGGGTCAGGTGCGAATAGGGTAGTAGCTCAGAGCCAAGTACCCCACCTTCCCCCCAAGTCAGGCCATGGATCCTTGGGACCCCAGCTCACCCTCCTCCCCTTCCCCCACCATCTCCCAGGGGTCCGAGGAGTCCTACTGAGAGCTGCAGCTCTGAGATGGTCTGAGGGATAATTATTGGAATGCTGACTTGGCCGCTCCCGTCTGTGTTTTGCTGAATGTCCTGGACTTCAGGAACAGACCCAGGAGAAGACACCGTGGCAGAAACTTTGACAGGAATGCCAGAAGCTGGGGAGCCTGACATCTCACGGACCAAGGCCTAGGCAGGTAAAGGAGGGCAGGCAAAAGAGAGTGGTCAGACCCTGAGCCCTCCTAACTACCACATCCTCCCTACTCATCCTTCCCCTCTGGAAGAAACCTGCAGCAGGAAGGGGGCCCCAGGCACAAGGTGTCGCTTGGTCTTGCTAAGATCCAAGGAGAAGGGAGATGACACAAAATACCAGGATGTGAGCTCTGCCTCCTCCATCTCCCCACCTGCAAGACAAAGGACAGAGAGAGGTGGGGGACAGAGCCCAAGAAGAGAGGGACAGGAGGACAAGTAGGGAGTGGCTTGAGTGGTTCCCTCCCACAAGACAGTGAGCTCCCAGGGCACAGGCTGCTGTATTCCTGTCTGTACATGCTGAGGCCCAGCACAGGGCATTGAACAACACATGTCCACTGGAGGAGTGAAGGAATGAGCAGAACGAGCAAAGAAATAAATAAACTCAGCCAGGGAAAAGGGCCGAGTCACAGAGACAGAGTTGGAGAGAAACCAGGTCTCCTGGGTGTTTCCTGGTTTTGAGTCTGAGATGAGATGTGAGAAGTGGGGTGGTGTTGGTGCCGGAGGACAGAGGGTTAGCTCAGAGGTCAGAGGCAAGGGTCTGGGGTTACAATAAGGGAAAGTCACCCACCTGGAGACTCAATGATGGCTGCAGCAACGTAGAGGCGCAGCCCCTGGAGGTCAGTAATGCCCATATTCAGCTTCTCCAGGGCGTCCTGGAACTCTGCCTTTGAGAGGGAAATGTGGCTCTGTCCATTCACCAGCTGGGGCATAGAAAGAAACAGGACATAGGGTGAGACTGAGTCTCCCACCTCACCTCCCTTGCCCCTTCCCCTCCCCAGCCCCTATTCTCCTTCCTACCTTGGTCTGACTCTCCAGCCCCCGAAAGAAAGTCTTCTTACCATCCTCATCTAGGAGCCCAAAGCGCACATATGCCACCCCCTGCACTGGCTTCCCATAGATGTACCTGTCGTGGCAGAGAGAAGAGGGTGGGCCAAGGGCTGGGGGGAATAATGGCCCGAGGGCAGGGAAGCAGGAGCCCATTCATACTGAGTAGGGAGCAGGACCCGGTGCTGGTGGGCAGAGGTGGGGAGGGAGGTATTACCTGGCCTGGATGTCTAACTGCATTTCATCAAGATGGCCTGGCACCGTCAGGATGTAGGGCTTTCCAGGGGTGATCTTCACCTCAAAGTTGGGAAGGACTGACCCAGGGTGAAGGGATAGGCAGGTCAGACTCCAGCTCAAAGACTCCCCTCTGCTCAGGGCTGTGGCACCCATATCTCCCTGCCCTGAGCTGCTCCCAGTACCTCTCCTTCCACCCTTATTTCCTTCAGGAAAGCAGCTGCCTGTCCCTCCAGTTTCCAGCTCTCACCATATTTCTTCACCTCAAACTGGGTGCTGCTGTTGGATTCCAGGCCATCTGAGAATCGGGCTGAGATCTTCCAGGTCCCTGGCCTGAGAATGGACAAGGAAGGGGCTCAGCCCATCTGTACAGTGGGGCACGGAGAGCCAGCAGCCTGCTTCCCTGGGAAGAGGACTGTGGGGGTTAACCAGAGGCTCAGGAGGCTGAGGGTCAGGGCATCTGGGGACGTGCCTCTGTGTGGGAGGTGGAGAGCCTAACAGGAATTGGGGTGGTGTAGCTTGGGGGCAGCCCCCACATTGGGAGCGCTCACTCTGAGATGTCTGGGATCACAAAGTCATCCTGGAAGATGGACGAGGGCATGTACACCTCCTTCTTCCGCACGCGGAGGCCGTGAGAGTTCTGCAAGGGGAGAAGTGCTCACAGGCAGGAGGTCACATCAGTGGCCAGGATCAGGAAGGCCAGAGGTCGGGGACTCACCTCCACCATGACTGTGATGGTGTCAGTGCTCGGGCGCATCTTCTGATCCAGAGCAAAGACCCGGTACCGAACTGGGAGTGGAGGAGGAGAGAGGTGAGCAGGGGTCCATGTGCAAGGGGAGGGTGGGTCAAACTCCACAGAGGGAGCAGGGGACAAATGTTTCCTAAGCACCCCTTCTGTGTGGCACTTTCTTTCAGGTTATCTCACTTAGGGGGCACCAAACTCATCCTGAGAGGGCTCGGAGGGGGTTAAAGGTTGAGGCCCTGGGGCTGAGACTCACCCCGCTGGCCAGGGTTGTAAATGGGCTGGTCCGTCTGCAAAAAGAGGTGCCCCCGGCGAGAGGAGAAGAGCAGGTTGATACCCTGGATGTTTGTCGTTCTGGACAGAGAGTCCTTTAGCCATGGCGAATGGGCCACCAGCTGGACCTCAGGGCCTCTGAGGAGTTGATGGAGGCCACAGCTCTTCGCATCTTTCAAGGGCACCTGTCAGGAGAGGGAGAGGGAGAGGGAGCGGGTCACAGAGCAAGAGACAGCTGACCAAAAAGGACAGAGACCAAGGGAGAAACGTGGAAGGAGAATGCCAGGGTGGGAAGACAGGAGGGGAGGAGGCCAGTGGGAAGATGATGACACTTACAAGACAGATGGGAACAGGGCAGGAGGCCCCCACAAGCAGCAGGAGGGCATGGGGTCTGGTTACCTGGAGACTGAGGAGTGCAAAGTCTCTTTCTGAGCTAAGGGTGAAGTCCACCTTTGGGGAGCAGGGGACATTATTACGAGATGGGTTTCTCAGGAACACTGATCCTTTCACTACCTGTCCTCGGGGCACATCCTGGAGCTGCACCCCCACCGATAGGGGGACCCCCAGATGAACCACAGAAGGAGAGAACAAGAGCAACCTGGGGAGAACAGACAGGATCAGCAGTCAGACTTCGCTCTGACACCTCCACCCCTGCTCTCCCTCACTCCTGAATCGGGTCCCGATGCCAGCCCTGCCCCAATCCAAGCACCCAGCATCCCGCCTCCAGGACCTGGGCTTCTGCAGAGATAAGGTGAAGAAGCTGGATGCCCAGATCAGCCCCCAGAGCAGCCTCATGGCTGGAGGATCCAAGAGAGGTTAGATCCGTCTGTCTGTCTGCTACCTTCTGGCCAAGCTAGGCCTCGGGGCAGAGTTGACTCTGGACCTTGCTCCTCCCCCAGCCCAGCTAAGCTGGGAAACCACGTGACAGCCAAGAAGTGCAACTGGCCTCAGGCCCAGAGTTGTGGGGGCACCCCGGACACCTGGGTGTCCATGGGAAACTCTGAATCTTGGCCCAGAAATAACCCTGTCCTTCCCCGTTAACTCCTCTCATTCCAGTGCCTGAGCACCTCCCCCTACCAGGTATATCTGTATCAGGGTATAGGTGCACACAAGCTCATGTATACCTGGGCGTACAAGGGCCCAACATGGCCCACGAGTACAGGATATTTAAAGGCCCTCACAAAACAATGACAGGCTTCTAAGACACTTGTCTCTTACTTTCATTCCAACACAAATTGAACTATACTAGGCTTTTGCTTTTTTAGGCCCTAACAGAAATTCCGTGGTTTAGGAGATTAGGTACACCCTCACCACTCCACAGGGAGAATGGCCTGAACGTCAGAGTGAACCCCTGACCCCTTTCCTCTCTGAATGAGGCAAAGCTCAGACTTCACCTCTACCCCTAAACAAGGCACCCAAACACACGTCACAGTAAATAAAGGACATCCAGAAAATATCACAGGCAGAGGTACTTTATTTGGCAATTTTAACATGACACGTAGAGAAAAGAACCCTGCCCTCCTTCACCAGCCTCCCCAGAAATCCCACCTTCCTATTTCAAGACAGAGTAATAACAGCACCATTTTACACGAAAGGGAACAGCCACAGCCTTGGCACCATTTCTGGTTCCACTTTCCATGGAAGGGCAGAGAAGCATTGCTCAAACCCCACCACTGGGTCAGAAACCAGGCAAACAGCAGCAGTCACATCTGACCTTTTGCACACACGAGAGCCCGACACTCATCCTGGCTCCCAAGCCTTCCCAAGGTGACCCTGTCTCAGCCACCATCATGCAGCTCTTCTAGTCCCCTCCCGGCCCACTCTGAGGAGCTGAGCAATGATGAGCAGAATCTTCATGTCTCTGGCAGGCGGAGGAGGGTTCCTGAAGTGGTAGAGATGCTGTGCAGGAGAAAGACAAGGCTGGAGCCAGACGCCTAGGCTCAAGCTGTGAGGAGAACTTAGAACTTGGGAAGGGGTGCTCCCGGGTTCCAGAGAAGAATGAGAGCCACTGGCCTTCACTAGGAAACTAAGCATGAGCTGGGAGGAAATCCCACTTTGGGTCATTGCTCCATAATCTGCCAGAGGCCAGGGAAAGACTCACCAGTCCACTAGCTGGGCCCCAATGAGGTCGTGCACATGGTAGGTGAGGCCAAGCCGCACCACGACAGGCACCCGCCGGCCCAGGAGCTCTGATAGGAGCAGCTCCCGGTACTTTGCCTTCCGGACCATGCCAAGGACAGCCTGGCGCCCTAGAGGAGAAGTGGCACAGGAGAGGGGAAAGGTGAATAAGGCCTAGAGGCCTGAGGAGCCACCAAAAGGTGAGGGGCTGCAGGCTTGAGCTGCAGATGGGATACCTTTAACAAAGTACTTGTGCATTTGGTCTGAAGACAAAGATGACTGCAGGAGTGGGCAGGCCGGAGTGGGGTGACCTGGCCTGTGCCCAGGAAGGAGGAGGAGTCTGCAGCCCTGTGGGCTTCAACATCCATCAAGGAGTCCAGAGCAGGAGCCAGGCCAGGCGGGAGGGAAAGGCCCTGGGAGGGGCTCTCTAATCTCCCAGCCCCGACTCTGCCCCGTCACTGCCGCTGCTCCTCATTACTCGCTGGGGCTGCTGTCGCCTCCCCGAAGGGTGGCCTTGTCCAGATAGTGGCAAACCTCCCTGCCGTGGATGAGTCAGGAGCATTTTCTTAAGAGGAACATCACTGGAAAACAAAATGAGCGGGGACACAGAAACCAACAGCAGTGGCTGCATTTGTGGTACAGGCTCCTCTTCCAGAGCTCGCTGATGCCCACCTCAGACAGGCCTGACCACGGCACGGCTGGTGGGATTTGCCAGTCACCTCAACCAGCCAGTTCCACCCTCAGCTTCTCTCAGAAGGGAGCACCACACTCCTCAAGCTCAGTGAATGTATCCCGGCATGGGTGGGGCCAGAGCCTGTGATATCTCGAGGTGGGCTCGGCAGGACACCGGGGTGTGGAAGGGGGAAGCGAGCACCTGACTCAGACAGCGCGGGAGCTCGCAGGAGTCACGAGGCCACAGCGACTTCATTGTCTGACTGGGCCTGGACCTATAAACTTCCCACCTCAGCCTTGGGCCAAGCCTGGAAGATAAAAATGGAGCACCCCATGGCGCCCCTCACTCAGATTCTCCCCTGGGCTTCTCCCACGCAGCCCCAGAAGAGGACACACCAGCCCCAGAGTTAGCCCCAGAGGCCCCTGAGCCTCCTGAAGAGCCCCGCCTAGGAGTGCTGACCGTGACCGACACAACCCCAGACTCCATGCGCCTCTCGTGGAGCGTGGCCCAGGGCCCCTTTGATTCCTTCGTGGTCCAGTATGAGGACACGAACGGGCAGCCCCAGGCCTTGCTCGTGGACGGCGACCAGAGCAAGATCCTCATCTCAGGCCTGGAGCCCAGCACCCCCTACAGGTTCCTCCTCTATGGCCTCCATGAAGGGAAGCGCCTGGGGCCCCTCTCAGCTGAGGGCACCACAGGTACCACCAGGCGTCTCCGGCCTCTAGCCTAGGACTCAGAAGGGAGAAACGGGGGCTCAGAAGGGGTGGTCGCAGGGAAAGAGCGTGAGGCGGGTACCAGGGAGAGAGGATGGATGGGCTGGATGCGAGTGGCCTTTAGCTCTGCCCCACAGGACCCCCCTGTGGCTGCAAGTCCCTGGTTACAGATAGAGAAACAGGGGCAGGGAGGGGGGTGGAAGGGACGTGCTCTGGGTCACCAAGCTGGTGTGCTTCTGTCTCCAATCCCTTCTCCCCCACCCACTCCGTGCAGGGCTGGCTCCTGCTGGTCAGACCTCAGAGGAGTCAAGGCCCCGCCTGTCCCAGCTGTCTGTGACTGACGTGACCACCAGTTCACTGAGGCTCAACTGGGAGGCCCCACCGGGGGCCTTCGACTCCTTCCTGCTCCGCTTTGGGGTTCCATCACCAAGCACTCTGGAGCCGCATCCGCGTCCACTGCTGCAGCGCGAGCTGATGGTGCCGGGGACGCGGCACTCGGCCGTGCTCCGGGACCTGCGTTCCGGGACTCTGTACAGCCTGACACTGTATGGGCTGCGAGGACCCCACAAGGCCGACAGCATCCAGGGAACCGCCCGCACCCTCAGCCCAGGTAAGGACCCACACACACTCTGCCCCAAAGTGGGGGTCTTTGTACTTCACGGGGGGGACCTAGTGCCTCAGCCAGCGGTGGGGGTGGGCGAGTTGGTGGTGGGCCTGGAGGAATCTGCAGAGCGACTTCCATTCCTGGGGACTAGAGGAAAAGGGGTGGTGAGCCTGTGCTGGAGCAGAGGCGAGGGGGGGACTCGCAGGGAGAAGCCTCCCTGCCCCTGCCTGCGTCATTGTTCCTTGACCCCTCTGCAGTTCTGGAGAGCCCCCGTGACCTCCAATTCAGTGAAATCAGGGAGACCTCAGCCAAGGTCAACTGGATGCCCCCACCATCCCGGGCGGACAGCTTCAAAGTCTCCTACCAGCTGGCGGACGGAGGTGGTGCCTTTGCCATGTGCTCATCGCCTCGCATTTCCTCTCCCCCCTGCACTCTGCCCACCCTCCAGCCGCCCTGGGGTTCCCTGGGTAACCCTCGATCCCCAACGTTTTCAGGGGAGCCTCAGAGTGTGCAGGTGGACGGCCGGGCCCGGACCCAGAAACTCCAGGTGGGAGTCAAGAAAACGGCATGGGTGGGAGTTGAGAGAGAACGAGGAGGGTGAAAGGGAGGTGGTGGAGGCTCCGATTGCGGACGGGAGGCCAGTGGAGTCTGGGGAGGCACGGAGTAGAGAGAGCCGCGGGGACCCTTCTGAGCCCCTCCCCTTCCCCCAGTTCCTGACGGTCCCACACAGTTGCGTGCACTGAACTTGACCGAGGGATTCGCCGTGCTGCACTGGAAGCCCCCCCAGAATCCTGTGGACACCTATGACGTCCAGGTCACAGCCCCTGGGGGTGAGCAGGGCTGAGGCCTCTGGAGGGGACTTGTTCAGGGTGGGGATTGCAGGGGGGAGGCTGGACTCTGGCCGAGGATGGAGGGGGCAGGCCTTGATGCCCCTCTCTACACTCCCAGCCCCGCCTCTGCAGGCGGAGACCCCAGGCAGCGCGGTGGACTACCCCCTGCATGACCTTGTCCTCCACACCAACTACACCGCCACAGTGCGTGGCCTGCGGGGCCCCAACCTCACTTCCCCAGCCAGCATCACCTTCACCACAGGTAGGGTCTGTGGGGTGTGTGGGACAGGGAGAGGAGGTAGAGGGAGCCAGGTTGGGCCTCATCCCCATCTCCTCTTCCTGCTTTCCCTCCTAGGGCTAGAGGCCCCTCGGGACTTGGAGGCCAAGGAAGTGACCCCCCGCACCGCCCTGCTCACTTGGACTGAGCCCCCAGTCCGGCCCGCAGGCTACCTGCTCAGCTTCCACACCCCTGGTGGACAGAACCAGGTGCCCCGGCCCCACTGACCCAACTCCCCTCCCTGGGTGATTCCAGGAGGTGCTGCCTCTGGCCCTCCCGGAGGGTCTCCACCTCCCTCTCCCCTGACCCCCCCTTGTCTGTCCCACAGGAGATCCTGCTCCCAGGAGGGATCACATCTCACCAGCTCCTTGGCCTCTTTCCCTCCACCTCCTACAATGCACGGCTCCAGGCCATGTGGGGCCAGAGCCTCCTGCCGCCCGTGTCCACCTCTTTCACCACGGGTACCTGGACGCACGGGCCCGGGGCCGGGGGCTGGGTGGGCAGCCAGGGCCTAAGGCTTGGAAAAGGACTGGCCCCTGCTCTCCTCTCCCAGGTGGGCTGCGGATCCCCTTCCCCAGGGACTGCGGGGAGGAGATGCAGAACGGAGCCGGTGCCTCCAGGACCAGCACCATCTTCCTCAACGGCAACCGGGAGTGGCCCCTGAACGTGTTTTGGGACATGGAGACTGATGGGGGCGGCTGGCTGGTGGATGGCATTGGGAAGCCCAGGGGTCTGTGCAGGGCAAGGGGCTGTTGCCCCGGGAGCCAGAGGCTGATGGTGCCCCCACTTGCTTCCCAGGTGTTCCAGCGCCACATGGATGGACAGACAGACTTCTGGAGGGACTGGGAGGACTATGCCCATGGTTTTGGGAACATCTCTGGAGAGTTCTGGCTGGGTCAGTGCCTCACAGGGACTGGGGAAGTACGGATGGGGATGGGGGCCCTGTGGACACCAGGACCCTGATGAGGGCACATATCCCACCCCCAGGCAATGAGGCCCTGCACAGCCTGACACAGGCAGGTGACTACTCCATGCACGTGGACCTGCGGGCTGGGGACGAGGCTGTGTTCGCCCAGTACGACTCCTTCCACGTAGACTCGGCTGCGGAGTACTACCGCCTCCACTTGGAGGGCTACCACGGCACCGCAGGTAAGCAGAGGCTGTGAGGCTGGGAGGGTGAGGCTGGGAGGGGAGGCCCTCATGGCTCCTTCCTCCACCCTGCCCAGGGGACTCCATGAGCTACCACAGCGGCAGTGTCTTCTCTGCCCGTGATCGGAACCCCAACAACTTGCTCATCTCCTGCGCTGTCTCCTACCGAGGGGCCTGGTGGTACAGGAACTGCCACTACGCCAACCTCAACGGGCTCTACGGGAGCACAGTGGACCATCAGGTGAGGGGTGGGGAGGCGGCTCAGAGCTGGGGTGGCTGGGGCTCGGCCTGCCTAGGTTTCGGCCCCACAGTGTAACAGGCAAGGGACTGAGTGGCTGGGTGAAATGGAACAATCATGCCAGCCTCGCAGAGGGAGCTGGAGTTGATTTATTGGCTGGAAAGGACCAGCTCAGGATTAAGCCTCAATCCTCTGCGGCAGAGGGTCAGGAAGGGAGCTCTGCGGGGAGGTTGGTTGAGTGCTGGGAGCCACCTCCTTAAGGGGAACGGGAGGAGCAGATGGGACATCCGGCTTTGACTCTCTCTTGACAACCCCTTTCCCAGGGAGTGAGCTGGTACCACTGGAAGGGCTTCGAGTTCTCGGTGCCCTTCACGGAAATGAAGCTGAGACCAAGAAACTTTCGCTCCCCAGCGGGGGGAGGCTGAGCTGCTGCCCACCTCTCTCGCACCCCAGTATGACTGCCGAGCACTGAGGGGTCGCCCCGAGAGAAGAGCCAGGGTCCTTCACCACCCAGCCGCTGGAGGAAGCCTTCTCTGCCAGCGATCTCGCAGCACTGTGTTTACAGGGGGGAGGGGAGGGGTTCGTACGGGAGCAATAAAGGAGAAACTGAGGTACCCGGCTGGCATCGGTCCTGCCCCATCACTGGTTCTGGCCCGGGCTGTGGGCCCCCATCCCCCGGGGCTGCAGCCGCACTTGGAAAGGCTGCATCTTGAGGATGACACTGCAGTGGGGCAGGGGCTGCAGGGAGGGCAGGGCGTCCCCGGAGGGCAGCAGCGTGAAGGCCTGCAGCAGTCGGGTCAGCACCACGAAGAGCTCCAGGCGCGCCAGCGGCTCGCCCAGGCACACGCGGGCACCGCAGCCGAAGGCCAGAGCTCTGGAGTTCTTGCCTGGCTCCAGGAAGCGATCTGCGGGCGGGTGGACAGGTGGGTGGGGAGGCGTTCAGCGGCAGCGGGGACCAGCCTCCACCACATTTTCACGGCAGGCCCCCGGCCCCCCACATACCAGGCCAGAACTCATGTGGCCTCTCCCAGACCGTCTCATCCAGGTGGGCGCCTTGGAGGTTCGGAATGATGACTGTGCCCTCAGGGATGTCGTAGCCAGAGATGCTGAAGGGGGCTGGAGTTAGAGGCTGGCCAGGACCTCCCTGGGCTCGGGCTTTCCTCACTCATCCCCAACCCTCGGGAGTCACCTGCTGGGCCGTGTGGTGCGGTGGGGCAAGGCTAAGGGCACAACGGGCCGCAGGCGCAGCACCTCGGCGATGGTGGCATTGAGCAAGGGCAGCCGTGCACGGTCCTTGTAGGGGACCCGGGAGCTGGAGGCACCAGGGCCCAGTTCGTGGTCTAGCTCCTCCTACAGTCGCTGCTGAATCTGGGGAATGATCGGGTGGAGTCCTGCCCCAGCAGCCCACAGCTGCCCAGCCTCCAGCCGCTCCCTCAGCAACCCAGTGAGCCTGAGTGCCGGTGAGGCAAGCACAGCCCCAGCCGCACAGTGCTCAGAGCTGAGTGAGGGTGCCCACCGCCCTGGCCAGGTTGCTGGGAAGGAGCCTTTTGCTTGTCCGCAGGACGCACCTCAGGGTGGTGAAGCAAAAAAAACCACGGCCCAGGAGAGGGTGTTTGCTGTGGTCTCAGTGCCACCGATCAGGAGGTCCACTGCAGCCATGTGCACGTGCCCTTCCAGGAGCTGTCCAGAGCCCTCTTCCATGCTCAGCTGCGCCACCCCTTGGAGCATGTAGTCCATCATGTCCCTCCACTGGCCTGCCACCAGGCTCTCCTGCAGAGGGTGAAAGGAGCGGGCTGAGCGGCTGGCCTGGGGAGAGGAGTACAGAGTGGCAACAGGCCCATAACTGGGGTATGCAAAAGAACCCGCCTCATAGCAATGCTGAGGCCGGTAGCATCACTGGCTGTGGGCCGAGGGGAGGCCGTCCACACACAGTCCCCACCTTGTGCTGCCTCAGCTGCTTCTCCTCGTTGTGGTCCCTCTTCTCTATGGCCTGCTTCAGCCTCCGGAGACCTGGATTGGGGAAGAACTGCGGCAGGAAGCATGAGAATGCAGCTGTGGGAAGGAGCCTCTCCCTCCACCCCAGCCTCTCCCCCACAACCCAGGGGTGTCTAGGCTCCAGGTCCTCACCCTGAGAAAGGGAATCATGTCCACAATTTGGATGGACCAGTGGCTCCAGGTTTTTAACACCTCCTGGATACATTTGTAATAGGCAGGCATTAAGTTGTCCTCCTGCCAGGAAAGGATGGAGTACTTTCAGTTCAGGACAAGGAGAGGCTCAGGGAGGGGCTGGGGGTGGGCCTGAGGGGCTGTGAGGCACCTTGATCTTGTCTCCGAAGGTGAGGTAACAGTTGATGCTGCAGGTGAGGAGAGAGAATTCCTCCTCAATGGCCACAGGGGTGCCGGGCTGGGCTCTCATGCGCTGTGGAGAAACAGTGTGAGTTCAGCAGGCCGCTGTGCAGCGGGCAGGGCGGGGGCTACTGTGAGAGGTGAGGCTGACCCGAGGTGGCCTCAGGAGCCCAGCCTTACCTCACAGAACTCCTGGGTCAGCTGCTCCACCACTGGCTCCATGGAGTCACGGATGCCCAGCAGCAGGGCTGAGCGGGTGAGCTTCTTGTGGGCTTTCCAGAGCAGAGACCAACGACAGGTCCGGGTAGTTCTTAGACACCAGCTTGTCTGCAGGAGGAGCTGGGGGCTGGAGGGTGGGAACTGACCAAGGAAGCCGAGGGCCTGACCTTCTTCTGCCTCCTCAACACCTGCTTCTTCTCCTGAAGATATGCCCCCCAAGAGCTTCCAGTGACCTGGAGGATTGGGGAAGCCCCCGAAGGTGGCTCCCACTTGAGGCCGAGGTGGGAGGATCACTTGAGACCAGGAATTCAAGACCAGCCTGGGCAACATAGCAAGACCCCATCTCTAACAAAAAAAAAATTTGTTTAAGAAAGAAAAAATGCCCCCGGCCCTTACAGGTAAGTGGCTCAGGTCTGCCAGCAAAGTCTGCCCACTTTTTGACCATGGCTTCCTCAATGGTCCTCTTGGAGTTCAGCACCACCACATCTGGGAGACAGCCAAAGCAGCGTCAGCGGAGAGAGGACCCTCTCCGTCACCTCCGCCCCCTCCTATGGTGAGGGCCAGAGCGAGATCAGCCTCTCACCTTGCAGCCCAAGGTGGAGCCTGTAGATGGGCCCGAATTTCTGAGTCAGGCCAAGCAGATAGATGGGGAGGTCGGGCTGCAGCAGGTGCAAGAAGCCCGGGGCAAGAGGCAGGAGGTGGAGGCTCCGGAGCTTCCACCAGTTCCACAGCAGGCGGGCGCCAGCCAGCAGGGGCAGCAGCAGCAGCAGGCCCAGGAGCAGCATGGCAAGACGCCCGTCAGGGCCCTGAGGTGCCACTTATAGCTCAAGAGCCCCAGCCATCCCTCCTGCTGTGTAGACTGTTTTGGGGCCTCCCTTGACCCCACCCTCAGGTGCCTTCCCACCGACCCACCCACAGAGTGGCCCTTTTCTGGAATGACACCAGTCTCATTGGCCTTGGGACGTCCGTATTTCAAAAAAAATTAATCACCCATCGAGAAGCAAGGAAGGGAAATGCAACCCTGACCTTTTTCCTGCATCCAGAGTCAGCTTTCTGGTTCCACATCACCCGTGCAGGCAAGGGTGTCCGCCCCGACCTGGGCCCTCTCCCTCTGCCACCCCACCGTGGGCCAGTTTACTGGCATGATGTTTGTCTCAGAGAGAAAATGGCAGTCCCTGCCTAATAGGCCTTCCTGAATCGCCTGAAGAACAAAATGTGATTTGTGTGGGTTTGTTTGTTAGTTTAAGCTACAGATAGAGTAATACAGTTTAAGCCTGGTTTGCCTGGGGCATTCCAGTATATACAGGTATCCCAGTGTGATTGTTATTAGTGCCTCCTTTCACTCACAAAAGTGCCCAGAAGACAAAGGAGGAAGTGGTTTCCCGCTGCGGAGTAATAGCATGTACCAGACACTGCTCTAAGTGCTTTGTGGGCACTCACTCAACTCTTCACAGCCATGCTCTATATGCAACACGGGTATTGTTCGCATGTTGTGGAGGGCAGGATTCCAGCCTGGAAATCTAGCTGTCGAATATGTACCTTTAGCCACCAGGAGCACCTTTCTTTGGTTGAAAGGAAAACAGCCCACCTTGAGCTGGTTTGAGACAAAAAGTAAGGATTGGGGAATTTCACAGAACTCAGGAAAAAGAAGCAGAGGAGGGGACCCCACTGGTCTTAGAAAGCCAAGGATAGGGAACAGAAAAAGCCCCGGAGACGGGCAGTTTCCTCGCTCTGTTCCTCTCTCCTCTTTCTTCTCTCTGCAGTCAAGTTTCTTGTGTTTCCAGGCACAGGCAGAACATGACTGCCCTCAGGACTACAGTCCACAGGTTCTACTCCAGCCAGGGAAAGTATGGATTCCCAGCACAACTGGGCATGCCCCCGCTCAAAGTCCAAAGTCCCCAGGAAGGGGCTGGATAGCCACAGCTGGATCAGGATCAAGGGTCCAGCCCTATTTGGGGAACTGAAGCCATAAGGGGTGGGGGTCCCACTGGACTGACACTCAGAGACCACTTTTGTGAGTAAGGAGGCAGTTTGGGGATTTGGGAAGAGGCCATGCCAAAGAGGAGTGGCCGGGTTCAGTGAGAGGCCAGGGCCTCCTGGATGGTACCTGAGAGGTCAGAGGCGACCCAGCCCCATACCTTCCCCCCCCATTTCTGGCTCTGTGCCAGACCCTCGGACCAGTGGGGGTCTCTCTCCCCTCAGAGCTTTTCCAGACTGTGCTACTGCAGAGCCAGAGTCAAGACCCTGGCTGTGCCACCCACTACATTGGCGAGTTCGCTGCTGCTGAATCCATGATCAGGACTGAGAGGGAGAAAACAGGATTGGGATTTCTGGGGTTGGGCAATGACAGCTACTGCCTTCTTCATGGTTGACCTCCCAGACCGGGCCATGTCTTGCTGCAACTGAATCCCTGGCTCCGGAAAATGGGCTTATGCCACCACCATGCTGAGCAGCTACTGGGAGAAAGATCTGATGAGCAACCATAGGGCCATGTATGCAAGAGCCTCAGGAAACCTCTGCCACAGTGGGAAAGGCCCAAACTTCTCAAAGTTACGTGGGATAAGACAGTGCTCATCGGAAAGGAGCGCACCTGGAAGGCTGACGTGCTTACTACTTGTCTCACCATCTCCATCTCTTCCACCACTTCCAAATCCAAACTCCGAATGTGGTCAATTACATGCAATGTCCCCAAAGGTACCCTGTCCTGCCCCCGGCCTCTGGGCCTTTGTATATTCTCCTTCTGCCCCAGATGCCCTCATCTACCCCTGCTCTTTGCCTGGCTCCTTCTCAGTCTTCAGAGCCCCACTTGGAGGCCACCTGCTCCAGGAAGCCTTCCCTGTCCCTGCCTGGCAATGCCCCTGACTTGGTTAGATGCCCCACAGGACCACACTGCTCCCTGACATCACATCTTTCACAGAGGGTGGGGACTGCCCGTCCTCTTATCTGTCTCCCCAGCGATGAGCCCTGGAGTGAGCAGCTGTATCTCTGGCACCTGGCACAGGGCATGGCATGAAGTGAAAGATTCCCGAATTTCTGTCGAATGACTGGATGGCAGGCTGCTGAACTGTCATGACCTCTACGGAAACTGATCTCACCAAACTTCTTTGGACAGACGCGGAGTCATCTCTGAAGACCCCAGGTGTGCCACTAAATGGGGGAAAGTTAGGCAGGTCCGGTGGGAAGGGGAGACCCCAGGAGAACAGCGGCTTCCTCAGAGGATTCACAAACACACCAAAGTCAGACTTTTGGCTTGTTTGAAACCAGTAACTGGAAGAAGACACTGCCGGACCTGAGGATTGCACAACTCCGGGAAAGTCACCTCATTCCACTGATAACAGAACCAAGCGTCAGCAGGCTTTCAACAGCCCGGAACTCAGCTAAAATCTGCAGACCTCAGAACCGCCAGCAGCACGAGGACAGAGTCGGGGAGGTGTAGCTGGACAACAGCTCATGAGGCAGAAGAGCTGTGTCACAGGTGTCAGCTGAGCACAAGCCCTGTCTGAGGCCGTGGTGACTGGCGACAGCCGGGCAGTGGAGGGCCTTGGAAGCTGAAGGGTGGTCTTGGCATGGACTCTGGTCCTTGGGGTGCAGGCTCTTGGGTCCCAGTTCTGCTCGGGGTGGTCCTGTGAAGCACTAGACTCCTAGCGGGTCATCTGGGAGGTTCTAGCAGAGCTGAACAGCCCAAGGGTCATCAGGGCTCAGAGAGTCTAAGGTTATGTCAACCTGGCCTGCCCAGAACTGCATCGGGCAGGGGCACTGCTCTCAGCCCTAGCAACACACACTGACACTTCGCTGCCAACACTGACACTTTGCTGCCAAAAGCCTTTAATATGCCCTGGTCCCAGGCTGTGTTCATGAAAGCGGACACAGCAGTGCTTCCAGCTTCATGGTTCCCAGGTTCAGGTTCCTCCCAGTGGAGGTGGGAGGGCAGCCCTCACACCTGGCACCCCTGAGTGCCATACTCCTGGAGGAAGTCGTTGAGCTGGGCACAGGCTGCCCGCTGGCGGGTGCTCCGGCACAGGCGTTCAGAGGGCATCTCCTCGATCCAGCTATTCGAGTCCAGCAGGTACTGGGGGCTGCAGGGGGCAAAGGGGCAGTCAGCAGGGCTCGGGAGGATGGCAGGTGGAAACGGAGAGCACAGGCATCTGGCTTCTGAGGGGCAAGGCCTAGGTGGCGAGGCATGGGGAGGACAAGAGACTGAGGGGACCAGATGACTCACTGTCCCTCGAGGTCATAGGTGGCCCCATCCAGACCCATGATCAAATATTCTTTCCCAGGTTCCAAGCGAAGGCGGCAGGAGGCTCGAACCAGGAAGTTGCGCATCTGATTAGCAGCGGCCTTGACATCCTTGGCTGCGGGGATGACGTGCGCAAAAGTGGTCAGAGGGGAAGAGAAGGTGCAGGGTGAGCCCAGGCTGGGGACTCTGTGTAGATCCTCTCATTCCACCTTCGCCACCCCCATGGAGAGGTGCCACTGCCTCCCTATTTATGGCCAAGCCCAAGGCTTCTGACAGCCCAAGGGGATTTTCACACTTCCAGATGGTCAGGTCCTCGGCCACACCTCAGCCTCCCTGTCTCCCCCCAGCCCTGCCCGCCTCTCCGGTTTGCTTCATACTGAAGTGCAGGACTTGGGTGATCTTGGTCTCAAAGAGGCGGAAAGCAGCTCTGCTGTCTTCTCGGAGAACCTTAACCTGGAAGCCTAAGAGGGGGTGAGGAGAAGGGGGAAAGGTGAGTTACTTTGAGGCTGAGAGGGTAGGAAGTTGGTGTCAGAGCAAACAGGCTGCGTGCATGACCTGTAAGAGGAGCAGGCTACACCCAGAGAGACCAAAACAGCCGGTCCCCGAGGGAGGGTCAGGCCAGGGCCTCGGTGGGAAGACTGACCGTACTCCACACGGGGGTAGTAGCAGGCAAACTTCATCCTGTAGCCATCCTCGTCCTGCAGACCCCGCTCCAGGGCGCGACGCTGGCGAGGGCACTTCCCTGAAGTTGGGGAACCCATCAGACAGTGTGGGGGGGGCCCCGGCCATCCCGCCTCCACTGCCCCGCCCCAGGCCCTCAGTCTCACCCTCAGCACACTGGCAGACTTCAGCAGAACACAAGGTGGCCAAGAGTCTGCTCTTACTTGGTGCCCCGTAAAACACAGAACATCTGCGCTCTGGAGAACAGAGAGGAGTTAGGGCACAGGCCCCTCCATTCTGCCTCCTCAGTCCCAGGGAGCCCCAGGGCTCTCTGCCCCCTCACTACCCCGGTGTCCATTGTCCCATAGGAGGGCACCTATGCCAAAGTTCTCCTGAATTTCAGGGTGTCCTGCAGTGCTCACCGGGGTTGTAGTAGTCGTACAGGGTTGCGCTGGCCGGCTGCACCAGCCCCACCGGCACTTCCTGCACAGCCTCAAAGCCCACGCACTCCCGGGAGGTGGGGACCTGGCCAAGCGTGGGGAGGAGAGATGAGGGACCCACTCCCTGGGCCCTGCAGCCCCCTGTACTGGGTTTCCTTGGCCTGTTTTTGTTTGCTTCCTATTGGCCTTCTCTCCAGTGTCCTTCACATTCTGTTACCTTCCTACTCAGAGAACTCTCAAAGCTGCTCCGCAAGGTCTCTGGTGACTTCACTTCCCAGAGGGTGACCTTGCCCCAGTCTTCACTGCTCCAGGCCCTCAGCAGAGTCTTGCATCATGGACGTGTTCTCTGTGAAACTGTCCCTAAGCTAAGGGTTAGCTTCTGGACCACCCTTGGTTCTGACCTGGTCATTTCTTACGTTCCCTCCTTCGGAACTTCCTTCCTCAGAGCTCCCCTGTGGGGGTCTCAACCACTCCCTGGCTTCCACCAAACCAATCCAGGCTGATGATTCCCAAACTGAACTTGCAGCTCCATCCTTGCATTAGGATTGTGGCAGGACCTGTAAGTTCTCCAAGGCACTCTGCCTGCCCCCAAACCCACTCGCCCTCCTCGCGGCCTCATCTTTGTCATGGATACAACTGGGTCCTCCTTTATTTGCCACAACCTAACTGCAGGTTCTGTCATCCTGCCTGACCCCCCGACTCAGGTCCCAGGCCTGACCCCTCCTCGTGCCCACGCGGGCCCAGTCCACACGGTGCCGTGCCAGTGTCCCTCCTGAGCTAGGCTGCTGCACCGTCAGCTCCCTATCCGGGAATCTTGTTGGCTCTGTGTTTTCTATTGTGTTCAACCCAGATGTGTCAGCCAGGCTTCCCCAGCTGATGGGGGCTGGCCCCTCTGCACACACTGGGTAGGGGTCTCCCTGACCTACAAACAGCTGGCTAATGACAGCCACCACACCTTTCTCACATTTTCTCCCAGAGGTTACAGTAAATGTTCCAAAACTTTTTTTGAAGGCCGGGCATGGTGGCTCTGGCCTGTAAATCCGGTACTTTGAAAGGCCTAGGCCAGAGGATCGCTTGAGGCCGGGAGTTCAAGACCAGCCTGGGCAACAGAGCGAGACCCTGTCTTTACTAAATAAATAAATAAAAATGTTTTGAGAGCCGTAAGAGGGTTGATAACTATTTTAGCCAAATAAGGTCGTGAAAAGACAAATACAACTATCATCTATGGCCACCATCACTTTGTAAAGGAAAATACGCTTTAATATTAAAAAAAAGATAGGAAGTTCAACAAAAAAACAAAGGCAGCCCCTCAAGCTGAATAAAACCAGCATTAGGAAAGACTCCCTCTCAAACCCTGAGGGTCCCTGCTGACTGGCATCGGTCCCTGCCGCCTGCAGGTCTGCCCCTTACTCTGCTGTGTCTCACGGGCTCACATTCTTGTCCTTCTCTCTGATGACATCACAAGTTCTCAAGAGCACCAGCCGCTGACACAGCTGTCTCCTGAGAAACCTCCTAACGCATACTCAGTAAACCCGGTGCCATCGAGTCCCTTCCTGCCTCATCTCTCCCCACTCACCGAGTCAAAATACAGCAGGACGTGGGGCCCCTCGGTCTCAAAGTGACTCACGTAACGGTCAGAGAGGGAGGTCAGCTGTGGAAAAGGGGAGTTGGTCACAGGCCCTGCACATGACAGGGCTCAGTACCTGGGACAGAGGGGGTTGCCCTGGGTGGCTGACCACACCTTCTCCAGGTCAGCACGCAGGGCGTGGAATCCACTCAGGAGGGTGACGTCCGCGATGGCCATGCCAGACAGCCCCACCTTGCCGTTCCGCCTGTGGAGACGTGTGAGCTGTCGTCCAGGTTCTGCCTGCGCGGGCTCCAGAAGCCCAGCCCCAGCCTGGGTCCTGCCCTCCCTCCCCTGGCCCAGGGCAGCTCCCGGCGCCCACCAGATGCACACGGTGTAGTGCACCCTGGACTCCTGCTCCTCCACCACCTTGGGCGCCTCCCTCCTGCGGCGGTTCCTCCGACCCTCAAACAGCTGCAGGGGTGTCACGGGCTGCAGAGGGGCATCTGGGTCATCCTTGGCTGGAAGCTCATCGTACTCATAGTCCTCATAGTCCTCGTTTGCTTCCACTGCACAGGGAAGCATTGTGAGGAGGGCTGGGATGGCCACCCGGCTCCCTGCGCCAGCCCCTGCCTGGCCCCAAGGCCTCCCAACCCCCACACTCACTCGTGTACTCGACGTGGCCTTTGACTGTCACTTCTATCTGTAGGTCCTGGCAGGTCGTGTTCTTCATGTCCAGGACATTGTAGGTACGAAGGACCTGGCTCAGCAAGGGGCAGGGAGAGGACGTGGGACATGTGAGGCCACAGACCTCTCTGGTGCCATACCTAAGGGCATCTCCCTGGGCTACGGGATTTGAGGCCTTCAGCCCCTTTTCCTCCCCGTCACTGCACAGTCCACACACACGAGTGGCACCACATTCGCCACAGGCGTCAGGCGAGACAGAGAGGTAAAGAAGCAGGGGCCTGCCCCCAGAGGCCAACACTCCAGACTGTGCTGGGAAGAGGCTGGACTGAAAAGCTCAGGAAAGGCTTCTGGCCAAGGCTTGAAGGAGAAGAAAGAGCTTGTCCTGTGGGCCAAGAAGCAGGGAAGGACAGGAAAGGCAAGGGGATCTGTGTAGACAAGGAGAGCTGTCTGGCCGGAGGGGTGGGCAGAGGCCCAGCCATCTGAGCCGTGGGCAGCGGGGAGTGACTTTTCCCCAAGGCTGATCTGGCTGGGGCTTTTGGAAGGTCAGTGTCACTGCCGTGTGGACAGTGGATCAGACAGGGGAGACAGGAGGTAGAGAGAAGTTCCAGGTAGGGAGAAGGCCGTCTCAGCACAGAATCTAGGATGCAGCACCAAGGGCCACAGGCAGCAGGGGAGCAGAGGAGGAGTCACTAGGGACATAAGGACAGGCTTGGGAGAGGGGCCACTAACACGGCCTCTAGAGTAGTGGCTGGGCTCCTGGCTGGGAGGGGCTCCCACCAGCCAGACAAGAGACACAGAATGAAGAAGGGCTTTGGGACATGCCTCGTCTGAGGTGCTGTGGGAGTGGGACGAGTGGGGCCCATGGTTCAGGGAAGAGGCCTGGGCTGAGGAGTGGGATTCGGAGCCACCAGCACTGAGGCGGGTAAAGGAAACAACAGGTACCCAGAGATGGGGAGAGCAAGCGAAAGCAAGCAGGGGGAAAAACACCCAGGACGGAAGCACGGGACACCAACCCTGAGGTGTCTGCCTCCTTCCCCGGACCATGTGCCTCTGCCCACAGGCCTCTCACTCCACACCCTCTCCTCCACCAGTGCCTGGCCCCACCCCTTCCCTGGCCCTCACCTTCAGGGTTCCTTTGCTGTTTCCTCCCACCTTCACATTGATCTTGCTGCCCAAGGAAAACTTCAGCAACAGAAAAGGGAAGGCGATGTTAGAAGGGCACAAGCAAACCTGTTTTTGCGGCTCCAATAACTTATCTCCTTCCTCAAAACAGCCCCACCTCCTCTCCCCACCTCACATTTCCACAAAGTTTATACCAGCACATGAATTATCTCACTTCAGCCTTCTAACGACCCTGTAGGGTGAACTCTGTGTATGTTACTCTACAAGTGAGAAAACTGAAGCTCAGAGCTCCAGGTCACGCAGCCAGGAAGTCAGTCTTCCCCCGAAGACCCCAGGAAGAAGTGCTGCGGGGATTCCACGGGTGGGAGGGTGGGGACGGCTTCTGGCCTGGCCACGAGGCCCAGGTGTCCTGGCTACCCAGGCGAGGGAGTGGTTCACCAGGGAGTGGTTCACCTGCAGCTCCTCCTCCAGGCCGCGAATCTGGCGGTTGTTCAGCTGCAGCGCGTGGGACTTGAACCCATTCCGGCCTGTGGAGCTGAGAGTCACATTGAGACCCCTCTCCTCAGTGGTGTGGGAGGCAATCCAGTAGGCAGACAGGGCATCCAGGGCAATCACCGTGTCCTAGGGAGGTTGAGCCAGGACTCAAGCAAGCCCTTGGTCTGAGGACTACCCACCCCCCCCAGAGCCCGGGGACGGCCCCTACTTGGGTACTGCGGAATCCCCCTTGGAAGCTGCCCTGACGGGTGAGCCAGGCCGCAGCCTGGTCTGCCATCTCTGCTTTGCCCTCGTGAAGCAGGAGGTGCAGCAGGGCGTAGGCTGTGGTTTCAATCCACAGGGCTGGGGCCTGGGGCATGGGGTCGGATGGGTTGCGAGGAGCCGGGGTGGGCGACACGGCATTGCTCTGAGAACCAGTGACTGAGCCCCAGTACAGGTTATCTGAAAGTGAAGGGAGACCACGAGTAAACAGGAAGGCAGGGAGAAGAGCCTGGTCCCCTGGCCCTTAGCCACCCCCTGCTGGGCTCTCCTGAGTCTCCCCCAACCCACCCCTGCTTATAACTTCATTCCTCCTCTGAGTCTTCATCCAGCCTCTCCCTCTGGGCACACTCAGGGATCCTAAGGTCCCCTGGGCCTCAGGCTCACTGCCAGGAGCGCCTCACCCCTCACCTCCAGTCTCCTGGGCCATTGCCATGAGGTTGTTGTGGGCAACACCGAGCAGGTCCACAGGCGCCTTGGTCAGTGTCAGGGCATAGGCCGTGATGGCAGCTGCGTGGGCACCCAGGAGCCCAGCACTTGCTTTCTCCCCCAAAAATGAGTTTGCCTTTGAGATGGAGGCTTCCTGGAAGAAAACGGGAGGAGGGTCTTGGGCCTGGACCCCTGGGTTCCTGAGGAAAAAGGGAGAGAGCTGGGGGCCAGCAGAGGGCAGAAACGCCACTGAACTTACCACTCTCTGCTTCAATGGCTCTGCACCCTCATCCTGGAAGACGGCCAGCCCATGATGAAGGGCGATGGTCACAAAGGCTGTGAGTGCCACAGTCTCATCATTGCCCACCAAACCCCCCTAGTAAGGGGAGAAAAGATGTCAAACAGGAGGGGGAAGGGGCAAAGAGAGTCCTCCGACAGGCGCTTCTCGGGCCAGCCCCAGCATGCCCGCACCTGCATGCTCCTGTCTAACACTGGACAGGGGTCCTGGAACGAGCCGTCAGCCTGCTGCTGGGACAGAAGCCAGTTAGATGTCTCCTGCAGTTTCTCAGGCGAGCCTCCTACCTGCTCCTGGGCCAAACTCAGGACCTTCAACACAAAGGCTGTGAGCCTGGAGGGCAGGAAAGGAGGGTTGGGGATAAGGACTTGCTTCTCATTATGCCCACGCCCCCAGGTGCCTGGTTATCCACCCTCCCATCATACCAGCTCTGTCCCACCCCTGCCCCAGCCCTGACCCCCTCAGAACCCTGGAACCACTCTCCCAAGCTCACCAGGTGCTGCTGTCCCGTGACAACCAAGCCGCATAGGAACCATCCGCCTTCCGAAACTGCTGGATCCGCATGTAGCCTTGGAGAGGAGAGGTGGCCGCTCAGGTGACACTCACCCTTCTGCTGTTTGAGCCCAAGGCCATGCTCCCCATCCTCATCAGGGGCCCCCTTTCTTTCCCTCTGTAGCCTCCTGGGCTGTCCATCTTCCAGTAACTGTCCTTTCCTGGCCCCCCTCCTGCTTGCCCTTGCACCCAGAACCTTTCTGGATCAGATCCACGGCGTGGTCCTTGGTCTCGGGAGGCAGTGTGCTCCACTGCTCTGTCTTGTCCAGGTAGCGGGAAGCAGCCAGTGTCGGAGCCAAGTAGATCATGGTTTGCTCCCCACAGCCTCGAGGAAGCCTCAAGAGGGAGGCCACGCCTCCTGGTGACAAGGCCCCCTCAGAGCCTAAAGTGTCCAATGGATCTGAGGCTACATGGGAGGGAGAGGGTGGAGGTCTGAGGACTCTGTGTCAGAGGCTCACGGGGAGTGGGACCAAGCAGGGATCCACAGGTCCCACATGAATCCGAAGGTGGCCACTGGGAAGGGACTAAAGGGCACTCCCACCTGTAACCCTGACGTAGCTGTTAAAGTCCCCATCAGGGATCATATTGGGATCAGAGTTGCCAGGTATTTCCAAGGTCCGGCCTCGGTGGTCTGGGGAAATGGGGGAAGTTGGCAGCCTGTCCTGCTGTCCACATCCCCCACCACCTGTACCCACTTAGGAAACCAATGGCTGGAGGTAGAGGGTCACTCACCCAAGGGGTTGAGTTCATAGACCAGCTCCTCTCTATGGATGGCCCCTTCCTTCTGTCTCAGGGAAAACATGGTTGTGAGGTCACACAGGACTACAGCCTGCCCTGCTAGCACAGACTCCCCCAGAACTTTGAGTTTCAACTCCAGGGACAGAGTTGGATCAGAATTGTAGAAGATGGGAACAGACCAAGGCATTGGTTCGGGTGTTGGGCCCCTGGCCTGGCCAGCAGAGAGAGTGCTGAGGGTGGAGGACAAAGCTGGGGGCCCGGGGACTTATATTCAGGGGTGCTCCATTCACCTCAATCTGCAGAACCTTGGACACCGCATCTCCCACAGGGAATTCGAAGGACCCTCGAGCCACCACCTTCAGAGACACAGCGGCGGCTGCCGTGGGCACCACAGAGAAGGCAACAGGCCGGGCAGAGCCCGCAGGCACCAGCACCTGCTGGGCCAGCCCTCCGCCCCCAGCCAGGCACAGCCCCTCCACTGGGGACACGTGGACGCTCACCTGAGGGCAGGAAAACGAGGATGGCCAGAGTCCTGGCCCGGTTAGCCTCCCCACCCCTCACTGGGCCCTGGCTCCCCCAACTCCTGTATGCTCAGGCTCCCATGGGGCCTCACAGTCAGGTTTTTATCCAGGTAGTTATAGAGGACAGGCCGCAGCTCCAGCTGCTCAAAGCGGCGGACAGACATGGGCAGGCGGAGGTGCAGGTGGAACTCGCGGAACACCCGGAGCTGGACTGGGGTGGCCACACATAGGCCTGAGGGAAAGGAAGCGTGGGCACAGGGGCAGAGATCAGAGGGGCCATCAAAGCTTCAGGGCCACAGGAGGGAGGGGTGGGGGTGACCCAGCTCTGTCTCAGTCCGCCTCTGCCCTCTGGCCCACGCCAGCTGCACGCTGGCACAGACCTCCCCAGATCACTGGACCCTCTTCCTACACTAAGAGCAAAGGGAACAGGGAGCTGGGGTACAGGGAAATGGAAGCAGGGTCACCTGAGGCCCAGACAGGGTGACATCACCTTTGGTTTTGGACAGGCTCAGGCCATGGATCTCCCACGTGGTCAGAGAGTCGGGGAGCCACAGTGTCAATCTGTGTAGGGAAAGGCAGAGAAGGCCCGTCTACCCCGGCTGGCCCCGAGACACAGCACAGAGAAAAGGCCGGGCCGGCACACACTCTCACATTTGAAAGCGGTCCACTGTTTCCACTCTCCAGAGCCAGTTCTCTGGGAAGAAGCTGCGCACGGGAATGTCATCCTCATCAATCAGGTCCTCCTCCTGCAGGATCTCCAGGGCTGGGGGACCACGGTGGACGGGAGTGAGGAGGGGACCGTTCTGCCTTTCCAAGCGCCGCCACCTGTGCCCTAGCCCCACCCAGCCCCTCACCTCGTTGGAGGCCCGCCTGGCCCTTGTCCCTGCTCTTCTTGCGCAGACTCTCAGCAAATTGGCAGCAGGACAGGAAGGGCTCCCGGCAGTCCGGCTGCTGCACGCGGGCTGCCCGCTGCTCGCAGGAACGCATCATGGGCAGACGTGTCACCCCATCCTGGCAGCAGCGCTTGGCTGTCGGGGAAGCATACTGACCCACTGCAGGGCCAGGTGGGGGTGAGCATGAGAGGACAAAAAGGACATACACCTCAGCCCCCGCCCCGACCCCTTGAGACCAGCAACATAAGAGAGGCTGCTGGAGAGAGCTGCCCACCTTCCACTCGTAATCCCGGAATTCGGATCTCTGGCCCCAAATACCACACGTGGGTTCAGCAAGGAGCTGAGGGGCAGAGAGGCAGACCCCCAACCCGGATCCCAGGTGGAGAGCCCAAGCTACTGCCTAGGCACCCGCAACTCACATTTCTCATTAATCGCCTTTTGGAAGTTCACGTTTCTCTTTTTCCGGGTTGTCTTCTCCTTGGGACAGCTTAGTCCTGGTAGAGAGAAAGGCTGCAGTC
Source organism: Homo sapiens (assembly GCF_000001405.40). Taxonomy (NCBI): domain Eukaryota; kingdom Metazoa; phylum Chordata; class Mammalia; order Primates; family Hominidae; genus Homo; species Homo sapiens. The sequence continues at coordinate 3,240,839 of NT_167245.2, read as the reverse complement.
CAGCCGTCAGGCACTCGGCCTCCTCCCCTCCTCCCCTTCCCCTGCCCAGCCCTTCCTGCCCGGACTCTTCCAGCTGGTCCCCTCAGGCCCTTCCTCCTTCCTTATCTTCCCGCCACCCACTCCCCTTCCCTCTCTGTTCTCACTCTTTCTGGATAAGGTCCACTGGTCTCCATCAGAAAAGGCCAGGCCCGCTGCCTGGAACACCTGAAGGGCACTGTCCCCACCCCCAGGACCACAGCCGAGGTCATAGCTGTTCATAGCTTCAAAGACCTGCAAGAAAGGCAGGAATGCTAGGAGCCAAGTGTGGCTGAGGGGCAGGACTGAGCACTCGGCACAGGTGAGAGGGCAGCACATGGGGGGATAGGAAAGGATACAGAGCCAGGAGATGGAGACCACAGGGCCAAGTGGGGAAGAGACTGTGGGGAGCCTCAGTGGGATCCAGGGGCTGCGCCCAAGGCTCAGGGAAGCAGGGGGATGAGCCATGGAGGGGTGAGAGAGCTGTGGAGAGGGTCTGGACAAACCTTGCCCATGTTGAGGGGCTTGTGGGACTTGCTGCCTGCAGCATACAGAGCTGTGTCCAAGGCTCCCAGCGCCACCAGGGCTAGGGAGTCGGTTTCTAAGTGGAGCTTCACGGACTCCCCGTTCCGGTACTGCTTGGCACCGTCCACGCTGAGCTCCAGCTGGCAGGGGCGGCAGGTGGGGGCGGTCAGAGTGGGAGAGCTTCCTTCAGTCCCGGTATCCTCACTGCCCCCAAGCTAAATCCATGCCCTGTTGGCAATCACCCTGTCCTCAACCCCCTCGGCACAAGTGCCATCTCTCCTGACCCCGGTCACCTTGCCCTCGCAGGCCCCAGCCTGGACATCCACTCGCAGGGAGTTGGCCACTGGGTGGTCTCCATGGTAGTAGAAGGCCACAAAGTAGAAGGAGGGTGCCAGGTGATGGTCCACAAACACCGAGACCGAGGTCAGGGTCCTCTTGGGCTCTCGATTCATGAACACGATCTGCCCTCGGGATAGGATCTGGGCCAAGAATGGGAGGGACAAGAGTGGTTGCCTCTTCATGGGACAGCCTCAGCCTTGAACCCCCCCAGCCCCACCCAGAGGGCTCTTCCCTGCACCCCAGCCCTCCGTGACTCCCCAGCTCATGCACACCATGTAGTAGTAATGAGAAAAGGTGGCCCCACTGCCCACGGCTCGCAAGTTCAGGTTCAGAGTGTCCCCAACACGAGGAGGTCGAGAATCCGGCCACTCAATAGACAGAAACCCGGGGCCTCCTGAAGGTGGGGCTGCCACAGTGAGCCTGGCTATCGCTGGATGTGGGGAGCCTGCAGATACCTGGAGAGGGGGTCAGGTGCGAATAGGGTAGTAGCTCAGAGCCAAGTACCCCACCTTCCCCCCAAGTCAGGCCATGGATCCTTGGGACCCCAGCTCACCCTCCTCCCCTTCCCCCACCATCTCCCAGGGGTCCAAGGAGTCCTACTGAGAGCTGCAGCTCTGAGATGGTCTGAGGGATAATTATTGGAATGCTGACTTGGCCGCTCCCGTCTGTGTTTTGCTGAATGTCCTGGACTTCAGGAACAGACCCAGGAGAAGACACCGTGGCAGAAACTTTGACAGGAATGCCAGAAGCTGGGGAGCCTGACATCTCACGGACCAAGGCCTAGGCAGGTAAAGGAGGGCAGGCAAAAGAGAGTGGTCAGACCCTGAGCCCTCCTAACTACCACATCCTCCCTACTCATCCTTCCCCTCTGGAAGAAACCTGCAGCAGGAAGGGGGCCCCAGGCACAAGGTGTCGCTTGGTCTTGCTAAGATCCAAGGAGAAGGGAGATGACACAAAATACCAGGATGTGAGCTCTGCCTCCTCCATCTCCCCACCTGCAAGACAAAGGACAGAGAGAGGTGGGGGACAGAGCCCAAGAAGAGAGGGACAGGAGGACAAGTGGGGAGTGGCTTGAGTGGTTCCCTCCCACAAGACAGTGAGCTCCCAGGGCACAGGCTGCCGTATTCCTGTCTGTGTTGGGAAAAGGACTTGTGGGGTGCCTGTATAAACTGGCCATAAAAATATGGGACAATAAGTTGTGGAAAGCCACAAGAGGCCTCTGAGGAGAAAAGCCTCCTAATTGCCATGCTCAGAGCGAGACCTGCTCTCTCTTATCTGTAAACACTGTATTCAAGGAGAAAGACCCTCCTTTGAAGCATTGGAATGTGGACAGACGTGCAGGCTCCTAGTTAAGCCCACTCCCACTAGCTACTCTCCGATAAGTTAAAGATATGCTGTTTGAGCACAAAGGAGATTCATTTAAAGCGCTTCTGCTGTAGATTATGCCTGTGACGCACTGCTACCCTTTCACTGTTTTGCCCTGAACATCTGCTTCTTAGATCTAAGTTATTGTACTCAATAAATAGTGTGGAGACCAGAGCTCTGAGCCTTTTGCAGCCTCCATTTTGCAATTGGCCCCCTGGCCTCCACTCTTTATGAACTCTTAACCTGTCTCTTCTCATTCCTTTGTCACCACCAGACTTCAGGTACCCTACAGGTGGTGTTGAGGCTGGTCCCCAACATTCTGGCGCCCAACGTGGGGCCCAAAAGAATCTGGTGAGGAAACGCTCAAGCATGTGAAACAGAGGACCAACGAACAAAGGACTCCCAAGGACATAAAAGTTTTAACCTCTACAGGTAAGCGGGGCGCCCAGAGAAAGCTAGGGACACAATGGGAAAAACTGAAAGTAAGTACACCACGTATTTGAGCTTCCTACGGCAGCTCTTCAAGCATGCATGGTGGGGTAAAAGTTGATACGGAAAATCTTATGGATTTGTTTCATGCTATGGAACAATTTTGCCCTTGGTTCCCAAAACAGGAAACTTTGAAATTAAAACATTAAGAAGGAGTTGGAAAGGACCTTAAAAGAGCATATAGAGAAGGAAAGGAAATTCCTTTGCCTGTTTGGTCGCTTTGGTCATTGGTGCATGCAGCACTGGAGCCTTTTCAGACAGATAATGAGGCTGAGTCAGAGGAGGAGAGAGAGGAGTTTGATAATCAGAACTCTGAACCACCTCTACCGAGTACTAACAAAAAGGAGAGTCTGAAGATGATTTATGCCAATCTCCCCAGTCTCCCTAAACCTACTCAAAAAATTGTTCAGCCCACGGTTCCTGTAGAGGAATGTCCAGAATGGCCACCTCCTCCTCAGCCGAGTGGGTGCAGGGGGAGGGAGCCCGAGACTTGGCTCACCGTGCCCATTATTGCCCGACCCACAGTTCATTATGGAGATGGGGCAATTCAGGTTCACCCTACAGTTATTACAGTGAAGGAGCAATTTCCCTTAAAATGGATGACCCGGCGCCCCGTCTGGGTTGAACAGTGGCCGCTCCCTAAGGAAAAGTTGGGGGTGCTTTATAAAATAAACTACTAAAAAAAGGATATATTTCACCCACTTTCTCTCCTTGGAATTCCCCAGTATTTGTAATTAAGAAAAAGTCCGGTAGATGGCGTCAACGCTGTAATTCAACCGATGGGAGCCTTACAACCTGGGCTCCCATCCCCCACTGTGCTCCCTAAAGACTGACCGCTTGTTATTATAGATTTAAAAGACTGCTTTTTTACAATTCCTTTAGCAGAGGCAGATTTCAAAAAATTTGCCTTTACCATTCCTGCCGTTAATAACAAAAAACCTGCAGCCAAATATCATTGGAAAGTTTTGCCCCAGGGTATGTTAAATAGTCCCACAGTTTGTCAAACTTTTGTAGGCAGAACTATCCAGCCTGTTAGAGATCAGTTTCCAGATTTGTGCAGCAAAAAGTAGAGACCAACTTATTCAATATTATTAATCTTTGCAAAAGACAATTACAAATGCTGAATTACTTATAGCACCTGACAAAATTCAAACAACCACTCCTTTTCAGTATTTGAAAATACAAGTACAGGATAGAGCCATTAAGCCTCAAAAGGTTCAAATTAGAAGAGATTCTTTCAAAACCTTAAATAATTTTCAAAAATTGTTAGAAGATATTAATTGGATTTGGCCCAATTTAGCAATTCCTACTTATGCTATGTCTAATCTCTTCTCAATATTGAGGGGAAATACCAACTTACGCAGTAACAGAGAACTAACACCCGAGGCCATGAAAGAGTTATCAGTAATTGAAAACAAAATTCAGCAAGCCCAGGTCAGTAGGATTGACTCAGACTTGCCTTTATAATTCATTGTGTTCCCTACTTCACACTAACCACACAATAATGGGGGTTATTGTTCAAAATGATGATTTAGTTAAATGGTCCTTTTTGCCACATAATACCATAAAAGCACTTACAGTATACTTAAATCAGATGGCAATTCTAATTGGACAGGCTCATATATGAATTATTAAACTTTGTGGCACTGAGCCCAATAAAAATTATAGTTCCAATAAATAAAAATCAGGTTAAACAGGCATTTATTAACTCAGTTACATGACAGATTAATTTAACAAAATTTGTTGGATGTATTAATAATCATTATCCTAAAAACTTTTCAATTCTTAAAATTAACTACATAGGTTCTTCCAAAAATTACTTGTGATGCCCCTTTGGAAGGAGCCATAGCTGTTTTTACTGGTGGGTCTGGTAAACATGAAAAAGCAACAGTCTGGTGGAGACCACATAATCCAATCACTTGATCTGAATTTACTAACATTCAGAGAGCTAAGGTTATTCTGTGTATTTATTTAAAAACTATTACAGCCTTAAGTTTGCTCTGGAGCCCACTCTGTGTGGTCTTTTTCTTCAACTTCAACAATTACTAGACCAAGGTACACATCCTACTTTTATTACACACATTCGAGCCCACAGCTCTCTGCCTGGCCCATTGGCTTACGGCAATAATCAAGCAGACCTTCAGGTTATGACATCACTGCTTGACCAAGCCACCCAATCACATCGATTATTCCACCAAAATTGGAGAAACTTATCTAAATAATTTCAACTTACACAGAGGCTGGCTAAACAAATTATCCCACAATGCCCAGATTACCAGCTCACAGGCACATACCCTCCTTCAATAGGTGTTAACCGTAAAGAATTGGAACCTAGTCAGTTCTGGCAAACAGATGTTAAACACATCCCTAAATTTTAAAAACTAAAATATGTACATATATCCATTGTTACCAACACTCATCTAATTATTACACATTTAAAAAAATAAAAGTAAAAAAAAGACTAAGACAAAAATCAAAAAAATACAAAAAAAGTAAAAAAATTTAAAAAGTTATAAAAATGTACCTTTAGTAAAAAAATTATAAAACATAAAAAGTTAAGACATGTTAAAAATTGTCTGTAAAAGTCATAAAAAAAGTTATAAAAAATTTATACAAAAAAGGTTGTTTAATTTTGTTTTAAAGATCTAAACAAGTTTTAAAATGATAATTGTAAAAAATTCCGTGTGTAAACGTATTTACTAAAGTTAAAAAGATATCATCCAGTTTTCTATAAACTAAACATTAAAATAAAACACAAGTTTTTCTTAAAACACTAACCTGCTCTTTAAAAATTGTAAAAAGTCTCTTAACACAGACGCCACTCCTAAAATTTCCAGTACCAGCCTAAAGACTACATCCTCATCAAAGGATAAAAAATTAAAAAATAAAAAAACATTTGAACCAGCCTAAAAAAGACCCTACAGGAACTACAGCCTCAACAATGCGACTTCCACAAACAACACAGGCCTCAGACATTATACTAAAAAAACAAAAGTCTAAGCCAAATAATTTATTCATTTTTAATTCTCTCACTTTGCCTACTACCTATACCTGCTACACTGTATTAAGCTCGTATCTTAAATCCGCCTTTCTTCTGCCCTGTTACTTTAACAAACACCCCCTTCTCAGCTTCTAATAACATAACTGCTTAGCTAGAATAAATTAACATACCCCCAGTGGGGTTCCTCATTAATAACATATAGTAAACTAAGATGCCAAGTAACACTACAGGTCACTCTTTTACTAAAAAAAAAAGTTACTAATTATACTCATGTTTGTCTTCTGTTATTTACTAATCCTAGAATACAAAGCCAAAATAAAAACAGTGACCTCCTCGCCTAACAAACCTGTGGCTACAACAGCCCAAAATTATACCTATTGGGCATGTGTCCCATTCCTGCCTTTAATTAGGCCTGTCACATGGTTAAAACCCCCAGTTGAAGTTTATGTTAATAATAGCGTTTGGATCCCTAAGCCTACAAATACTCATGGGCCCTCTCACCCAAAGGAAAAAAAAAAAAGTTAATAAATGTGTCCATAGGTTATCAGTTCCCCCCTCTTTACATAAGGCCAACTATCGGTTGCCTAAAAGGCTACCGACAACATTGACTAGTTAAAATTCCAGGTCATAATCAAAGACCAGTATCCTATCATTTATTTTCTGGATGGAGCCCGGATCATTCACAGAGTTCAATTCAATTAACAGTTTAAGCCCCCAAAAAAGAGGTGCCAACAACCTTAACAATGGTCAAATAATTTAAAAATATTAATTAAAAAAAATTACATCTCTGATCACACTATGGTACTACAAAATAATTCCTATGAAATTGTCATTAATTGGTCCCCTGAGGGGACCTTTACAGTTAATTGTACCCATCAAAATAATAAATACAAGACAAAACTAAAACAGAAACTATACTATCAAAAAGGTAACACTACTTACACTGAAAAACGTGCTCATTTTCCCATAATTTGGACCAATTTTAGTACAGCTGGCCCACATCCCAAAATAATTAATCCAATAATAGGCCCTAAACACTCCAAATTATGAAAGTTAATAATGGCCCAATCTCATATTTAAGTTTAGAAAAAAATATATTATCTTTAAAAAAAAAAGGTTAAAAACTTCAATTTGCGTATCAGTTTTCTTCCAACAAAACAGTGCCCATTCAGAGTTGTGTCAACCCTCCTTTTATGTTAATGGTCAAAAATATTGACATTCGACCTAATTCTCAAACTATTACTTGTCAAAACTGTCACCTTTTCACCTGTATTAATTCCACGTTCGGTGTAAAAACATCTGTGTTACTGATAAAAACTAAGAAAGGAGTTTGGATACTGGTTTCCCTCAATAGACCTTAGAAAGCCTCTCCTTCCATTCATATTGTCACAAAAATGTTTTAAAAAAAAGTGTTTACCAAAACAAAGAGATTTATTTTTACCCTTATAACAGTCTTATGGGCCTTATTGCAGTCACAGCTACTGCTGCGGCTGCTGGAATTGCTTTACACTCCTCTGTTCAAACTACAAAATATATAAATAGTTAACAAAAAATTCCTCAAAATTGTGGAATTCTCAGACCCAAATAGACCAACAATTGACAAATCAAACAAATGATCTTAGACAGACTGTTATTTAAATGGAAGATCGTACAATAAACTTAAAACATCAATTAGAAGTACAATGTAATTGAAATACTTCCAATTTCTACATAACTCCCCATTCGTATAATACTACTAAACATCATTTTTAAAAAGTTAGACATCATCTAAAAGAAAAAAATAAAAATTTAACATTAAATATAACCAAATTTTAAAAAAACAGGTTTTTAAAGCATCTCAGGCTCATTTAACCCTCCTGCCTGAGACTGACATTCTCATTGGAGCTACTGACGGACTTTCAAACATAAATCCTCTTAAACAGATTAAGACCATTAAAGGATCAACTATTACAAATTTTACTTTAATGTGTATCTGTTTATGCTGTTTACTTTTAGTCTACAGATGCAAAAGACACTTCTGAAAACAGACCAAACACCACAAATAAGCCATAATAGCAATAGCGGTTAAAAAAAAAAAAAGGGAGGGGGGCATGTTGGGAAAAGGACTTGTGGGGTGCCTGTATAAACTGGCCATAAAAATATGAGACAATAAGTTGTGGAAAGCCACAAGAGGCCTCTGAGAAGAAAAGCCTCCTAATTGCCATCATGTTCCCATGCTCAGAGTGAGACCCCCTGTCTTATCTGTAAACACTGTGTTCAAGGAGAAAGACCCTCCTTTGAAGCATTGGACAGACATGCAGTCTTCTAGCTAAGCCCACTTCCACCAGCTACTCTCCGATAATTTAAAGACATGCTGTTTGAGCACAAAGGAGATTCATTTAAAACTCTATTGCTATAGATTACGCCTATGACCCACTGCCTCCCTTTCACTGTTTCTCCCTGAACATCTGCTTCTTAGATCTGAGTGACTGTACTCAAAAAATAGTGTGGAGACCAGAGCTCTGAGCCTTTTGCAGCCTCCATTTTGCAATTGGCCCCCTGGCCCCCACTCTTTATGAACTCTTAACCTGTCTCTTCTCATTCCTGTGTCACCAATGGACTTCAGGAACCCTACGGGTGGCGTTGAGGCTGGTCCCCAACATGTCTGTGCATGCTGAGGCCTAGCACGGGGCATTGAACAACACATGTCCACTGGAGGAGTGAAGGAATGAGCAGAACGAGCAAAGAAATAAATAAACTCAGCCAGGGAAAAGGGCCGAGTCACAGAGACAGAGTTGGAGAGAAACCAGGTCTCCTGGGTGTTTCCTGGTTTTGAGTCTGAGATGAGATGTGAGAAGTGGGGTGGTGTTGGTGCTGGAGGACAGAGGGTTAGCTCAGAGGTCAGAGGCAAGGGTCTGGGGTTACAATAAGGGAAAGTCACCCACCTGGATACTCAATGATGGCTGCAGCAACGTAGAGGCGCAGCCCCTGGAGGTCAGTAATGCCCATATTCAGCTTCTCCAGGGCGTCCTGGAACTCTGCCTTTGAGAGGGAAATGTGGCTCTGTCCATTCACCAGCTGGGGCATAGAAAGAAACAGGACATAGGGTGAGACTGAGTCTCCCACCTCACCTCCCTTGCCCCTTCCCCTCCCCAGCCCCTATTCTCCTTCCTACCTTGGTCTGACTCTCCAGCCCCCGAAAGAAAGTCTTCTTACCATCCTCATCTAGGAGCCCAAAGCGCACATATGCCACCCCCTGCACTGGCTTCCCATAGATGTACCTGTCGTGGCAGAGAGAAGAGGGTGGGCCAAGGGCTGGGGGGAATAATGGCCCGAGGGCAGGGAAGCAGGAGCCCATTCATACTGAGTAGGGAGCAGGACCCGGTGCTGGTGGGCAGAGGTGGGGAGGGAGGTATTACCTGGCCTGGATGTCTAACTGCATTTCATCAAGATGGCCTGGCACCGTCAGGATGTAGGGCTTTCCAGGGGTGATCTTCACCTCAAAGTTGGGAAGGACTGACCCAGGGTGAAGGGATAGGCAGGTCAGACTCCAGCTCAAAGACTCCCCTCTGCTCAGGGCTGTGGCACCCATATCTCCCTGCCCTGAGCTGCTCCCAGTACCTCTCCTTCCACCCTTATTTCCTTCAGGAAAGCAGCTGCCTGTCCCTCCAGTTTCCAGCTCTCACCATATTTCTTCACCTCAAACTGGGTGCTGCTGTTGGATTCCAGGCCATCTGAGAATCGGGCTGAGATCTTCCAGGTCCCTGGCCTGAGAATGGACAAGGAAGGGGCTCAGCCCATCTGTACAGTGGGGCACGGAGAGCCAGCAGCCTGCTTCCCTGGGAAGAGGACTGTGGGGGTTAACCAGAGGCTCAGGAGGCTGAGGGTCAGGGCATCTGGGGACGTGCCTCTGTGTGGGAGGTGGAGAGCCTAACAGGAATTGGGGTGGTGTAGCTTGGGGGCAGCCCCCACATTGGGAGCGCTCACTCTGAGATGTCTGGGATCACAAAGTCATCCTGGAAGATGGACGAGGGCATGTACACCTCCTTCTTCCGCACGCGGAGGCCGTGAGAGTTCTGCAAGGGGAGAAGTGCTCACAGGCAGGAGGTCACATCAGTGGCCAGGATCAGGAAGGCCAGAGGTCGGGGACTCACCTCCACCATGACTGTGATGGTGTCAGTGCTCGGGCGCATCTTCTGATCCAGAGCAAAGACCCGGTACCGAACTGGGAGTGGAGGAGGAGAGAGGTGAGCAGGGGTCCATGTGCAAGGGGAGGGTGGGTCAAACTCCACAGAGGGAGCAGGGGACAAATGTTTCCTAAGCACCCCTTCTGTGTGGCACTTTCTTTCAGGTTATCTCACTTAGGGGGCACCAAACTCATCCTGAGAGGGCTCGGAGGGGGTTAAAGGTTGAGGCCCTGGGGCTGAGACTCACCCCGCTGGCCAGGGTTGTAAATGGGCTGGTCCGTCTGCAAAAAGAGGTGCCCCCGGCGAGAGGAGAAGAGCAGGTTGATACCCTGGATGTTTGTCGTTCTGGACAGAGAGTCCTTTAGCCATGG